>NC_000014.9:70823834-70975349 GCF_000001405.40 Homo sapiens
GGTGAACAGAGGAACAGCCACTCCCAGCAAGCAAGGGAAGAAGAATCTTGAAAGCCTGTGACTTCACAGAGACTTCTTGATTGATGCCCCTGAAATCAGCCTGCCAAGTGTGGCCTCTGCAGCATAAATACAAGGAGTCTGATGACACAAGACGGCGTCTGATGATAGTTCTGTCACCCTCAGCCATATTATAATTCCATGTCCTCGTAGTCACCCTGCCATAATCCCACCATTTCCTGCAAACACAGCTTCTCCTGCCTGATGAAGTCTTACCTATCCTTTAAGACCTAGCTCCGACCGGGTGCAGTGGCTCATGCCTGTAATCCCTGCACTTTGGGAGGCCGAGGCAAGTGAATCACTTGAGCCCAAGGAGTTCTGAGACCAGCATAGGCAATATGGCAAAACCCCAGCTCTACAAAAAAAAAAAAAAAAAAAATTAGTTGGGCATGGTGGTGCACGCCTGTAGTCCCAACTACTTGGGAGGCTGAGGTGGGAGGATTGCTTGAGCCCAGGAGATCAAGACTGCAGTGAGCTGAGATCATGCCACTGCACTCCAGCCTGGGTGACATAGTGAGACACCATCTCAAAAAAAAAAAAAAAAAAAAAAAAGGTCCACACTCTGGGGAGCCTTTCCTGACTATCCTGAGGATACAGGGGATGCTTCCTCTGTGGGTTCCCACAGGATCGACCCACACTTAGATCCCTCACCACTTTACTCTGCCATTTACTCCCCTCCCTTGACCATCAGTCTTTGAGGAAAGGGACTTTGCCTTCTTCATCGTTGCCTGGCACAATTCTTGCTTTTCCTACCTTGAATGAAAAGAGATGATAATCCTATGTAATGACAAATGACTTAGATTTTCTCATTTAACCCTCACACAACTCTGGGAGAATGAACACAGCTGAAGTGGCTTGTCCAGGTCATTTTGTAAGTGGTGGAGCTGTATGATCTTGCCCACTTCAGAGACCATAAGCTCTAGCTTGCAGCTGTCCCTGACTGCCTTCTGCCAGGTGATGGGAAGCTTCTCACAAAGGCAGTGTCTACCTCAGCTTCTTTCTCCTTTCTCTCCCATCAAACTCAAATGTGAGGCAGCTAAGAAAGTTGAGTCAGCTCCTGAGAAAATTCAGGTTTTAATAACCTGCCTTCCTTAGGTGCTTGTCCAACTCCTCTGGCAAGGACCCTTCTTGGAGGGCTGAGATTGTTTTCCTGGAGGCCACCAGACTTCAGGCTTCTAACCTCAGAGCCTGGGTGCTTTGTCTTACAGCATGGTCTTTCTGAGCTGCTGGAGACCTCTCAGGTGTGAACCTAGTCTAAGCCACCATATAACTGGGGTTCCAAAGGCTTATCTCTGTTGTTATGAATCATCCACTGGATACATAGAGGGATGATAACTGGTTGCGGATCATTAGGTTCCTGTCCCTAGAGTTGTGTGTCCCAAAGCAAGCCACTCAGCATTCTGGACCTCAGGTTTTTTTCTGTCTTCCTCTTTCTTTCTTTCTTTCTTTCTCTTTCTTTCTTTCTTTCTTTCTTTCTTTCTTTCTTTCTTTCTTTCTTTTTTCTTTCTCTCTTTCTCTCTCTCTTTCTTTCTCTCTTTCTTTCTTTCTTTCTTTCTCTTTCTTCCTTCCTTCCTTTCTTTCTTTCTTTCTTTCTTTCTTTCTTTCTTTCTTTCTTTCTTTCTTTCTTTCTTTCTTTCTTTCTTTCTTTCTTTCTTTCTTTCTTTCTTTCTTTCTTTCTCTGACAATTTCTCTCTGTCACCCAGGCTGGAGTGCAGTGGCATGATCACTGATCACTGCAGCCTCAATCTCCCAGGCCCAAGGTATCCTCTTGGCTTAGCCTCCCAAGTAGCTGGGACTAGAGGCATGCATCACTATGCCCAGCTTTTTTTTTTTTTTTTTTTTTTTTTAGTAGACACAAGATTTCACAAATGTTGCCCAGGCTGGTCCCAAAGTCCTGAGCTCAAGTGGTCCTCCCTCCTTGGCCTCCCAAAGTGTTGAGATTACAGGCGTGAGCTACCTCGCCCAGCCTGGACCTCAGTTTTCTCATCTGGAAAACAGAAATTCAATTTAAGAAATATCAACTAAGGGAGGCTGAGGCGGGAGAATGGCTTGAACCCTGGAGGCGGAGGTTGCAGTGAGCCAAGATCGTGCCACTGCACTCCAGCCTGGGCAATAGAGTGAGACTCCATCTCAAAAAAAAAAAAAAAGAAAAAGAAAAGAAATATCAATTAAATGCCCATCATGTACAGAGCCCAGAGCTAGGTGCTAGAGATCTAAGTGCAAAGGTAAAAAGATATAATCTACGCCCTCAATAAATGTAAAGGCAAATAGAAGAGATACAATTTTTTTTTTTTTTTTTTTTGAGACAGGGTCTTGCTCTGTCGCCAGGCTGGAGTGCAATGGCACAATCTGGGCTCACTGCAACTTCTGCCTCCCAGGTTCAAGCAATTCTCCTGCCTCAGCCTCCTGAGTAGCTGGGACTACAGATGCATGCCACCACACCCAGCTAATTTTTGTATTTTTAGTAGAGACAGGGTTTCACCATGTTGGCCAGGACGGTCTCGATCTCTTGACCTCGTGATCTGCCCGCCTCAGCCTCCCAAAGTGCTGGGATTACAGGCATGAGCCACCGTGCCCAGCCGAGATAGGAATTTTTAAAAACAGACCCACAGCAAGGTGAAATAAAGTAGATGTGAAGTAAGAATATTAATACCTGTTTTGCCTACCTCATAAGGTTGTGCCAAGAATCAAATGAGATCATGGATAACAAGTATCCTTAAAGCACTATGCAAATGTAAGCAAGTAGTAATTATTATTTGGCTTTGCGGGAGATACCAATTGGGTTGTTTGCCTGAATCTCCCCTTTTTCCCAAGAACTGCTCCTATAGCCAAATCCACATGATAACAGTGGATTGCCAAATCCACATGATAACACCTCCTCAGGTGCCATTTTGGTTGATTGAGCCAGGTGCAGACCCCAGGAATGGGAATGAAGGTGGCTCAGTCTCAGTCACTCTGGGCTCTTGAGCAGAGGAAATACAAACACTGGAGGCTTAGAAAGCTATTTTCTGACTAGGTGGACTGAAAATTTAAAAATACCAAATTGGGCCAGGCACGGTGGCCCACGCCTGTAATCCCAGCACTTTGGGAGGCTGAGGCGGGTGGATCTCCTGAGGTCAGGAGTTCAAGACCAGCCTGGACAACATGGTGAAACCCCATCTGTACTAAAAACACAAAAAATTAGCCAGGCATGGTAGCGGGCACCTGTGATTCCAGCTACTCGGGAGGCTGAGGCAGGAGAATCTCTTGAACCCTGGAAGGTGGAGGTTTCAGTGAGCTGAGATCATGCCACTACACTCCAGCCTGGGCAACAAGAGTAAAACTCCGTCTCAAAAAAAAAAAAGAAAAGAAAAAAAAAACCCAAACTGCATCCAGAGAAAGCATGTAGACGTTCAGAGAGGAATGAAAACAAGAGGCTCCCTGTCATTCAGGCCTTGGTTCCCATCTGTCCCTGCCTGCTGTAAACAATATCCCACCAAGGGCCAGCTTTTGCTAAAGATAGCTCTGGTGGGCTTCAATCACCATTAAACAGTTCCTAAACTAATTCTGCTAAGGCTAATGTAGAGCAGAAGACTCCCTTGGCCCATGTAACAGCTGTGTCATCATTCATTTACTCATCCCATCAGTCAATGAATATCATTGAATGCCAGCTGTTTACAAGCTTGTAAGAAGAGGAAGAAAAAACATTGGCTGCAGTCTTTAAAATATAAACCAGCCACTGGATGTCAGCCTTCTGGCCAACTGGCTCTCAATGCTCCTGAAATTTCCCAGTTGTGCCCTGGGAGCATTTTGGAGGTATCTGACATAGCTGCCACTCACAGCTCTTTCTGAGAAGTTCTAGAGCCTTGGACACCATGGTGTTTTCCCATCAGCCTTCCTCCTCTGGTAACAGCCGCTAAACCCCACTCACACACACACTTTCGGGGAGCTGCCTCACCTGCTTCCATGTTCTTCTGGTGAGACTTTAATCACATGACCCCTCCCCTGAGCATAGACAGGGTGGACTTAGGGCCTAAACTGAGCAACAGAATCACTTTCTGGGGACTTTGAACTTTGAGCTGAGACACAAATGCAGAGGGCAGTTGGAGCCGGGCCATGCCACCGCAGCACCACATAGAAAAGCTTCAGCCCTGCTGAGATCACGGTGCCTGGTCCCTGGGTTCAGTTATTCCTTTAAATCTGTAGCCACCCCGGATTTTCATCTCTTACAAAATAAATATCTTTTGAACCAAATTAGCCAATCAAGTATTTGTAACCAAAGAGTTCGGGCACATCTGCTCTCTGCTTTTTCAGATAAAAGCTCATGGATGAGTGAAGAAAAAGAAGAAAAGGATAAAATAGAGAAGTTGTGTTGTGTCCCCTGCTCAAGCCTGCAGCACAGCCTAGCTCCTAGTTTAAGACCCTTTAATGAATCTATATTTACCATCAGGTTTTTATTTATGGAAATCTACACAAGGCATTTGGATGAAGGCTGATGCTTATTTCAGGAAAGCAAGTCTGTGGTTTCAACAAAACCTCTGTTAGCTCCCTCCACACCTGTTCGCTCTTCTGCCAAACTACCTATTGCTCATTTCTAAAGCAAAAAATAAAATCAGGAATCGGATTCCAAAGCAGGACAAAAGTGGTGATTAAAGAGACAGGCTAGAGCCAGGTGGGTCATGCCTATAATCCCAGCACTTCCGGAGACTGAGGGAGGAGGATTGCTTGAGGCCAGGAGTTTGAGACCAGCCTGGCAACATAGTAAGACCCCATCCCTAATTTTAAAAAATAAAAATAAAGAGGCCTATATTTTTTGTTATAAATTTTCTTTCTTTTCTTTTTTTTTTTTTTTTTTAGATAGAGTCTCACTTTGTTGCCCAGGCTGGAGTGCTGTGGCGCAATCTTGGCTCACTGCAACCTCTGCCTCCTGGGTTCAAGTGATTCTCCTGCCTCAGCCTCCCGAGTAGCTGGGATTACGTTATAAATTTTCTTAATGAGCATTATGTATTTCTAGTCAACACAGGTCCCTCTTGAAAATATCTTCCTAATATCATAGAAGTTGCCCCCCAAAGTAATACTGATAGAATCATAAATAATAGGCCAGTAATACAGCTAACTAATAGCAGATCTAGGACCAGAACTCAGGTCTTAGTATCACTAAATCAGAGTTCTTTCCACCATTCCATGCCTCCTTTCACAATAGAATTTGCCTAAATATTATTTCAAAATGTCTTCATTATAAGAATTTTATTTATCTACATATATCAGTGTTTCTTTGAACAATAAATATTTGACAAAGAATCTAGATACAGAAACTTTAAGTATTTATTTCCACTACTAGTCAAGATCTATAAAGTATGCAGATTATATATCACTAGGGATGGAGAATCCAAATAACACAATTAAATGCACATCCAAATATTAACTAAATATTATTCATCAGAGAGAAAAGAGTCAGGGAGTGAGAGACAGAGAAAGAGGTTGTCTCTCCCCCACTGTTCATTACGCCAGAGTTTTAGCCCCTGGGCGTTATAATGGTCTTACCACACCTGTACGGGCCTCAGCTTCTAAAGTTTCATCAGGCCGAATGTCGTGGCTCACGCTTGTAATCCCAGCATTTTTGGGAGGCCGAGGTGGGTGGATCACCTGAGGCCAGGAGTTCAAGACCAGTCTGGCCAACATGGCAAAACCCCGTCTCTATGAAAAATACAAAAATTAGCCAGGCATGGTGGTGCACACCTATCCCAGCTACTCGGGAGGCTGAGGCATGAGAATTGCTTGAACCTGGAAGGCAGAGGCTGCAGTGAGCTTAGATCTCACCACTGCACTCCAGCCTGGGTGGCAGAGCGAGACCCTGTCTCAAAAAATTTTTAAAAAAGTTTCATCAGTGTGTCACACTCATATACACAGGTATTGTTTCCAAAGCTCATTCAAAAAGTGCTAGGTAACTAGGCCAGGAAAGGTTTCCAGCCTAACATACTCTGCCCATTCCAGCCTTTCCAATATGATAACCTAAGTGCTGGTGTTCAGACAAATTGCCATTTCGGTCAACTCTTGTCATCAACTTAAGTTGCCCCTTGGGGAGGCTTAATGTCCCTTTCTGCCTTCTGGACTTGGTTGGGATCATCTTAGGCATTGGAAGTATCAAATAATGTTAAACCTCGAGAGATGTAGCTTGGGTATTAGGTCCCTTTCATTTAAGTAGGGTCCTTGGCCCCCAAAACACGTTTCTCCAACCTCTTTGGAAGTCAGCTACATACCAGGGATTAGACCAAACCTTAGCCATAAAACTGGCCCTGTTTGCTTCATTCCTCTGGGAAGATGGACCACCACTTGCTTTAACTTCGCATAGTTAAAGAGCCAACTCAGACAATTCTTGCCAAACAAGATCTGCCCCCACGGTCTTTTGCCATACACATCCTAGACACTGCCTTCAGCAGTGTCAGAACTTTGAACCTCTTTTAAAGGGCAGCTTCTCTCTCTAATGAAATAGTCAATTTTTTTTACCTTGTTTTACCTTGTTTGGGCCTTTCTACCCAAGAATCAGCAGTTTAATAGTTTCCTCATTCATCATACCTGTAGAGCACTGCACTAGGAGAAAAAGAAATAAGATACAGGATTTCCCAAATGAAGAGGATAAAGGCCAAGGCAAGGCTGCAGCAGCAATCTCAGCTGTCCTGTGCCAAAGATGACAGGACCACTGGGAGAGAAAAAGGCGAACAGGGACGGACAAGAGAGAAGAGGCAGTAATCAGTAGTCTGAAGACTGCTGGAGAACAACTTGACATTGTGTATTTAAGGACAGCCTCAACAAAGAAACCTTATTAGCCAGAGCTATCAAAATAGACCCACTTACTAAATATGTTTCCAAACTCTTCACTCCCACTCAACTGCATATAGAAACATCCTACAAAAATAATTTTTTCAACACACCCCTTTGAAATACATGGTAACGTTCCCGTTTGAAGAGCAAAATGATTGTGGTGCAGATGGTAAGTGCCCATTATTACAGGGCAAGGTGGTGAAAACATCAGAAATGGGTTCTTAGGTGCTTGCTGGGAACTGCCTTAGATTTCACACACTTAGGTGAGTGTTGCAGTGATCTATGACTACCTAACAAGCTCCTCCAGAACTCAGCCACTTAAAACAACAACCATTTATTTGTTAAGGATTCTGCAGTTGGGGCTGTGCTTACCTGGGCAGTTCTTCTGCTGGTCTCACCTGGAGTTACTCGTGAGTTTGAAGTCATCTGGCGAATTGACTGGAGCAGAATGATCTAAGATGACCTCACTAACAGGACTGGGGCCTGAGTGCTAGCTGTCAGCTCTTCCTCTCAGCTGATGTCATTCAGTAGCCTCGTGCTGCAGGAGCATGCTATGAGGGTTCTGGTGGAAGCTGCAAGGTTTCTCAGGCCTAGTTTCCCTTTCTCCTTCCACTCCTCCTCTCCTTCTTCCTCCTGCTCTCCTTTTATCCCTGGAGCACACTCAGAGGAAAGGCCACATGAAGACAAAGTGGCCATCTGCAAGCCAGGAAGAGGGCCCTCACCGGAGCCAGAACCTGATCAGAACCTTGGTGTGGGACTTTCTGACCTCCAGAACTGTGAAAAAATACATTCCTGTTGTTTAAGCCAGAGACTCTGTGGCATTTTGTTGTGGCACCTGAGCAAACTAATAGAGGTTGTTTACAGTTCTGGGGCTATTGCAAATGAAACTGCAATGAACATTTGTATACAAGTCTCTTGTGTGGAGATATGCTTTCATTTCTCTTGAGTAAATACCTAGAAATGGAATGGCTGGGTTACATAGTACATGTATGTTTCCCTTTTAAAGAAACTGTCAAAACTATTTTCCAAAGCAGCTGTACCATTTTGGATTCCCATCAGCGTCATATGTGACTTCCAGTTGCTTTACATCACAGGGTCTGGTAAATGTTTTTAATTTTAACCACTCTGGTGAATGCATAAGGGTATCTCATTGTGGTTTTAATTTGCATTTCCCTAATGACTAATTTTTTGTTGTTATTGAGACAGGGTCTCTCTCTGTTGCCCAGGCTTGAGTGAAATGGTGCCATCACAGCTCACTGCAGACTCAGCCTCCTGGGCTCAGGTGATCCTCCCACCTCAGCCTCCTGAGTAGCTGGTACTGCAGGTACACGCCACCACACCCAGCTAATTTTTTGTATCTTTTGTAGAGACAGGGTTTCAACATGTTGCCCAGGCTGCTTTGAAACTCCTAGGCTCAAGCGATCCGCTCACCTCAGCCTCCCAAAATATTGGGGTTGCTGATGTGAACCACTGCACCTATTGGCTAATGTTGTTGGTCATCGTTTCATGTACTTATTTGCCATCTCTATATCTTCTTTGGTGAAGGATTGTTTCCAATCATTTTGCCCTTTTATTATTGGCTGAGAGCTAATTAAATGTACATTCGAATAAGTGTAAGCATAGAGAGCTAGACACAGAATCTTACTGGCTGTCCAGTTTGGGCAGGTCTGGGAAAGGAGACCAGAACATCCAGGAGGCATCTGTGGACATTGAAAACTTGGAGGAGGGCTCATAAGGGCGGAAGGAAAAGTGGTCAGCCTAAAAATAAATTCTGCCAGCTTCACAGTTTGTCTAAGTTTAGCCTGAGGCCCCCCTAACAGTTTTCTCACCATTAGCACTGAATTCCAGCCCCTAGATGCTCTGAGAGCCCCAATTTCACCACGCTTTCTGTGGGAGTTTCCTGGTTCAGGAGTGCACCACCATATGTCACTCTGGCCTGAAGAAGTTTGCCAAGTTTGTAGACAAATACGGAGACACCCACGAGAAGTGCTTAGATAAGATTTGGCCCAGAGTCTTGTCTGGGGGCAGAGCTGAGAAGAAAGCGATGTCTAAAACGCGCTTCACTAACAGGAGGACTTTGGAAAGGAGGGATGGAGAGAAAGGACTGAGGAGAGTTAGGAGAGAGGACGTGAGGGAACAGTCATGCTCTGATCAAGGACACTGTGTTCAGCCATGGATAACTCCATGCCGCAAAGAGATAAGTGGGAGAGAGTCCAGGAAAGAGCAGGATAAATGATTAAGGAACAGAGAAGCTGATGTATGAAGCTGATTTAATAGAACTCACCGAAGCTTTTTCATTTAACAAAATGTAACAGGAGCAAAATTTCCATCCGGGCCTGAAAGGCAAGGGAAGTGCACGTATAAAAGATGAGGAAAATAGCAAATGTACGAGTCAGCTTGTCTAGCAAACCCATTAAGTAAAATGAGCATAATTTCTGCGTGAAGCAGGCCAGTTCTTGATCTAAACTTGTTTCTCTGTGTCGTGACGAGCCTGTTGTTGACATTTTCTCATTCTCTTCCATATTTCTCCTCATTCCCTCCCTCTTCCTCTTTTGCTTAGTGAATGTTAAAATCATAGGTGAAACTCCAAGCCAGGTGCGGTGGCTCACACCTGTAATCCCAGCACTTTGGGAGGCTGAGGCAGGAGGATCACTTATCAGGAGTTTGAGACCAGCCTGGCCGATATGGTAAAACCCTGTCTCTACCAAAAATATAAATATTTGCCAGGTGTGGTGGCGCATGCCTGTAGTCCCAGCTACTCGGGAGGCTGAGGCACAAGAATCGCTTGAACCAGGGAGGTGGAGGTTGCAGTGAGCCGAGATCATGCACTGCACTCCAGCCTGGGCACCAGAGCAAGACTCTGTCCTAAATAAATAAATGAATGAATAAATAAATAAATAAATAAAATGAAACTCCAGCTCTGAGAGTTCTTTCTTCACCTTTTTAGAGGAATCTTTCTGGTTGGGTCCTGTCCATGGGTTCCCCCATCCATGGTTATATCTATATTCCTCGGGCTACACCCAGTTGCCCTAGGCTGAGGTTTATCCTAATATGCCTAATTCCTCTTTGAACTAGGCCTTTCCTCAAGCCAGGAGCTCAGGAAAAAATAACAAATGATTCTACTTTGACTATCTTAACACAATTGCACAAACTATTTTGGAGTACTTCGTCTGATCATTTTTTTGTATATGTTGGAAGCGCTCGTGTCACATCATAACACCTCAGTGCATATATTAGAGATAATCATTCTGTGATGATTCATTTTCTGTGTCAACTTGACCGCGCCACAGTGCCCAGATATTTGGCCAAAAGTTATTCTGGATGTTTTTGTGGGAGTGTTTTTGGATGAGATTTGCTTTTTAAATCAATGGACTCTGAGTAAAGCAGACTGCCCCCCATGGTGTGGTGGGCCACGCCAAATCAGTTGAAGGCCTGAATAGCACAAAAGGCTCACCTCCCCTGAGCAAGAGGGAATTCTGCCAGCCAACTGCCTTCAAATTTCTTCTGAAACATCAGCTCTTCCTGGTTCACTAGCAGACTGTCTTTGGACTTGAACTGAAACCCTTTCCTACATCTCTGGCCAGTTAGCCTCCCGTGTCAGATTTTGGATGTATCAGGCTTCCACAATTGGGTGAGGCGATTCCTTTAGAATAAATCTCTTTACACACACACACACACACACACACACACACACACACACACACGTGTACCCACACACACGTGCATATGCACACACACACACGCACACATCCATCCTATTGCTTCTGTTTCTCTGGAGAACCCTAATACAAATTTGCATGTCATTAAATATCACTAGTGATGTAGCTAAGCATTCAAAATACTAAGAATGTGGTCATGGGCTTCCTCAATTAAGAATTCAGAACTGGGAGCTCGTAAGTTCACTGAAATTACTGTATGTTAAAGTAGGAGCTTACGCCTATCATAGGGCAAATAGCGCAAACATTTTTGGAGTTATCTCCAATGGCACAAAAGGCCATTTGTATGAACATATATATTTCAACCCCCTTTGAACTCTGTGAGTTAAAAATAAAAAATTAAAATGTATCAGTATCAACATAATCATTAATAATGTTGGCCTCTTTCCATTTAATCCCTTCTGTCTCACAACTAAAAGATCTGCTAATGAGTTTTTATTTTGAAAAGAGCACCTGGTACTAATTTCACATAGAAATAACATCCTTAGTAAAAAGAGATTTTATAATACAACAGAGTAATTCCTTCATCATCAAAATGCCTTATTAAGTGTCCTTTTACATGCAATACTCTACAGGTGTTATAAAAAGAAAAACCTTTCCTTAATAGTTTATAATATGAGCTATCACATGTTAATAACTAATAATTATCATTTATTGAGTACCTGCTATGTATCATACTGTTTTAAATGCATTATGGGTATAAATTTTTATTATTGTGACAAATCTGCTAGATAGTGTTATGTAATAAAGAATTTGGTCTTTTTCCTGGTTCCTGGGAAAGAGACTAAATTCTTGGAATTTCCTGAGTAATAAGAGTGCCTTGTTATTCATGGTGGGTCCCTAGAACCACACCTGAGTTAATGCTAATGAGGTGACACAGGATAGGGTTTGTTCACACCAGAAAGACCAACCATGTGATTAAAGGGTTGGGGCTTAGAGCCATGGGCTATCACATAACCTCCATGGAAGGAAGAGGAGAAGGGCGGGAGATTGAGCTTAATCATGGGGCCAGTGATTCTATCAATCATGGCTATTCAATGAAACCCCAGTAAAAACCCTGGACACTGAAGTGCCATCAAAGTTCCTGGTTGACTATAAACACTGCTATGGACTGAATGTATCTTCCCAAAATTCCTATGTTGAATCCCAGGTCTCCAATGTAACAGTATTTATAGGGGAGGCCTTTGGGGGGTAAAAAGCAATGCTGGCTCTGGCTCTACCTGCAGGGATGAGATTAGTGACCTTATAAGAAGAGACGCAGAGAGATGATCTCTTTCTCTGCCATATGAGGATACATCAAGAAGGTGTGTGTCTGCAAACCAGGAAGAGGGCCCTCACCAGAACCTGGACTTGCCAGCCTCTAGAACTGTGAGAAATAAATTTCTGTTGTTTAAGCCACTCAGTCTATGGTATTTTTTTATAGCAGCCAGAACTGACTAAGACACACACTGACATGCTGGGAAGGGTATGTGTCCAGAGGACATGAGAGCTCCTGCATTTGAGAACCCTCCTCCTAGACCTCACACTACGTATCTCTTCATTTAGCTGGTCCTGATTTGTGTCCTTTATAATAAAGCTGCAATCATTAATATAGTGCTTTCCTGAGTTCTGTGAGCTTTTCTAGTGAATTATCAAAGCTGAGGTAGTAGTAAGAACCCCTAAATTTGTAGCCAGTTGGTCAAAAGTGCAGGTGGCCTGGGGGTCCCAGAGCTTGTGGTGGGTGTCTGAAGTGAGGGGAGTATTATAGAGGACTGTGCCTTCAACCTGTGAAATTTGTCCTCACTCTGGGTAGCTAGCATCAGAATTGCACCAGAGGTAGTGATTCTTATCCCCGTTTAACAGATAAGGAAAATAATGCTTGAAGTGCTAAAGTACTATGCTCAGAGACACACAGCTCATGATGGGTAATACCATGTTTCAAAGCATATTTGTCTAATTCCAAAACCTACACTCTTTCTACCACTCTGGGAAGAGATGGGATCTCTGGGTTAGTCTGATAGATTTGCTACCAGGTTCTCTGTCATTTGGCATAAAAAGTATTTATTCAATCTACAGTGAATCATTTGCCCTACACTGATTGGCTTGTTCACTTGGAGAATGATGGTAATAAGCAGTGCTGGCTCTGGCTTCAGGTGAAGGAAATCCCTACAATCACTGTCAAGAGGTTGTGCTGGAATGGAATGGAGGCTTTTGACACACAAAACTCCAGGCTCAAAAATCGAAAGTATTGGCTTACCTGACTTAAAAAGAGAGTAAGGGAGCTGAACATAACCTTCACCAAAAAAAATGTGCAGATGACAAATAAGCGCATGAGAAGACACACAACATCATTAGTCATTAGCAAAATGCAAATTAAAACTACAATGAGATGCCACTCCACACCAACTAAAATGGGTAATAACTGATAAATAAAATTACTGACAATATCAAGTGCTAACGGGTGTGGAGCAACTGGAGTGCTCATATTTTGCTGGTAGGCATGCAAAATAATACAGTTACTTTGGAAAACCACTTTGGCATTTTCTTATAAAGTTGAACATATCTGTACCATATGACCCAGCAATCCCACTCCTAGGTATTTATAAATGTAAACATTTATAAACACAGATGTTTACAATGGCTTCATTCACAGTCACCCAACACAGGAAACAACCCAATGTCCCTCAACAGGTCAGTAAATAAGCAAATTGTAGTACATCCATAAAAAGTGATACAGTACTTCTCAGCAATAAAAAGGAACAAACATGCCAGTATGTATAGCAGCATTATTTACAATAGCCCAAAGGCAGAAGCAATGCAAATGTCCATCAACAGATGAATGATTCACAAAATGTGGCATATGCATACAATGGAATATTATCCACTCTTAAGAAAGAATGAAATTCTGATACATGCTACAGCATGGATCAACCTTAAAAACACTATGTTAAGTGAGATAAGCTAGAGACAATAGGACATATATTGCATAATTCCCTTATGTGAGGTAATTGAAATAGACAAATTGATGGAGACAGAAAGTAGAATCCAGTTTACCAGGGGCTGGGAGAGGGAAGAATGGGGGAGGGGGGTTTATTTAATGGATACAGAGTTTCATTTTAGGAAAAAGTTCTGGAGATGGATGGTGGTGATGGTTGCCAACAGTGTGCATGTAGCTAATGTCACTGAATTGTAAACTTAAAATGGTTAAAATTGTAAATTTTATGTTATATATATTTTACACAATTTTTAAAAAGAACAAAACTACTGATACACACAACATGTATGAAATCTCAAATACGTTACGCTACGTGAAAGAAGACAGAGCCAAAAGGTTACATACAGTAGGATTCCGTTGGTGTGATATTCTTGCAAAGGCAAAACAATAGCAGCAGAAAACATCTGCAGTTGTTGGGGCTGCGGTCAGGGAAAGGGCCGACTACAAAGAGATACTGGAGAATTTGGGGGGAATGATGGAACTTGATTGTGGTGCTGGTTCCATGACTATATACTTTTGTTAAAATTCACAGAACTGCACACTAAATTTGATAAATTTTACTGTCAATAAATTATACTTTAATAAAAATAATGGAGGGAGTATTGACTTTTGAAACTCTATACTTCTCTATCATAGCATTTGTCCTCTGCAGCAATAAATGCTAGTTAACATTGGAGAAGGGTGAAGATATAAGGACTTACAGGAGGCAAACGCCTTGAATAATATGTCAAAATATGAAAAACTCAGTCTGTCACCACAGTCGTCATGAATTCTCCATCCTGATTCTCCTCTTCTGCTTCAGTTCCCACTCGATCATGTGTGTTGGTCTCAGAACCACTTAGGGCAGCCTTATCTGTGCCACCACCCATCACATGAATGCCAAAGTCCATGTCACAGGTGCTATCTCTGGAACTTCCTGAGGCTTTTTATCATGAGGATATCAGAGTAAACCTGAATTTCATGCAGAGGCTGAAAGAATGGCCTCCTCCCTAACTCACTCTATGCCACACTTTGTTCCCAGGGCCATAAGGCCTGGGCTGGCTTAACCATTAGCACGGTAGGCACAGCACCTAGGGCCCACAATACTATTAGGATCTCATGAAATAGTTTTAATTTCTTTTAAAATCAGAAGAAAAAATGAACTTTAGGATCAAATAAAATGTTTTAATATATAATATTAATATATTCACCTTTATACCAATGTAGTTGTAAAATACCATTTTAATTTTTTTTAATGAGAAAAGGGCCCAAGAAGGTAAAAGTACACAGGGCCTTTGAAAGTCATAATGCAGCCCTTTGTGAAGAAGTTCTGTGTGTTGCCAGAATCTCACCAAATCTCTCTTAAACTGTTGGGTCAGCTTTTTGCTGATGTTTATTTAGCCATAGGGGTTCAAATTGGATCAGGTGGTGATCACATGGCTCTTTGCTCTTCTTCCCTACTTTTCTAACTCTCTGCTTCACTAAAATTTCTCTACACTTCTCAAGTTACAAGACCAAAACTAGGTAGGCAAACAAATTCCAATCTTCTCTAGAAACTTGTTTCTTTCAGTTATTATGTTGGTAATTTATGTCCTTTTGGCCCAAAGTCTTGTACATAAATTGAACATTTTAGTGTGTGGTGTTTCCCCATAATTCTCAAAATCAGATAATGATGGCATAAAGGTTAATTCCTGAAACCTTTCTCTCCCAGTACAAATCCAATTTCAGTAGGCCCTCCGTATCCATGGATTCCACATCCATGGATTCCACATCCATGGATTCAACCAACTATAGATCAAACATATTAGAGAATTTATTATTTTTTATCTTTTTTTTTTTTGAGACAGAGTCTTGCTCTGTCACCAGGCTGGAGTACAGTGGTGTCATCTTGGCTCACTGCAACCTCCACCTCCCAGTTTCAAGCAATTCTCCTGCTCAGCCTCCCCAGTAGCTGGGACTACAGGCACGCATCTCCACACCCAGCTAATTTTTGTATTTTTAGTAGAGATGAGGTTTCACCATGTTGGCCAGAATGGTCTCAATCTCTTGACCTCATGATCCACCTGCCTCAGCCCCCAAAGTGCTGGCATTACAGGTGTGAGCCACTGGGCCTGGCCCTAGAGAATTTTTTAAATGGATGGTTGCATTCATATTGAACATGTGCAGACTTTTTCCTTTTCGTTATTCTCTAAACAATACAGTACAACAATTTACATAGCATTTATATTGTATAAGCTATTACAAGTATTCTAGAGATGATTTAAGGTATGCAGGAGCAGCCGGGGGTGGTTGCTCACACCTGTAATCCCAGCATTTTGGGAGGCTGAGACGGGTGGATCACCTGAGGTCAGGAGTTTGAGACCAGCCTGGCCAACATGGCGAAACCCTATCTCTACTAAAAATACAAAAAAATTAGCTGGGCATGGTGGCACATGCCTGTAGTCCTAGCTACTTGGGAGGCTGAGGCACAAGAATCACTTGAACCTGGGAGATGGAGGTTGCAGTGAGCCAAGATGGTGCCACTGCACTCCAATGTGGGTGACAGAGTAAGACTCCATCTCAAAAAAAAAAAAAAAAAAGTATAAGGAGGATGTGCATAGGTTATATGCAAGTACTTGCCACTTTAGATCAGGGGCTTGAGCATCTGTGAATTTTGGTATTCACAGGGGGTCCTGGAACCAATCCCCCATGACTACTGAGGGATGACTGTACTAACCACTCCTCCAAGTAGCATGGAGCAGCTACTTGGGAGCAGTGAGCAGAGAAGCCTGTAGGAAGTGTGTGTGAAGTGTGAGCTCTGCTAGCATCCAAAGAAAGAGAGGAAGCAAAACGACTGACTTCCCGGCCCTGCCTCCCCTGCCATGTCAGATGGAAGCTTGGAGACTGACCCTTGAAAGCTCCAACTAAGGACCAAAAGAGAGTCAGGTGTGGAGAGCTTAGTGGGCCCTAACATGCCCACCACACACAAGGGCAGTGCCAGGCAGTGTGCTGGGCCCCAGGAGAAGCCGGAGAAAAATGAGGCAATATTTTAGTCTGCTTTGTGTTGCTGTGACAGAATACCTGAGACTGGGTAACTTATAAAGAAGAGAAATTTATTTCTTAACAGTTCTGGAGGCTGGGAAGTCCAAGATCAAGGCACCAGCAGGTCTGTTGTCTGGTGAAGACCCAGTCTTTGGTTCCAAGATGGCACCTTGAATGCTGCATTCTCCGGGGAATGGGGTGGGGGACTTGCTGTTGGCAGAAGAGTCCAGGAACAAAAAGAGAGAGAACCCACTCCCAAAAGCCCTTTTAGAAAGGCATTAAGCCCACCCATGGCCTAATTACCTCTTAAAGGCTCCACCTCCCAATATCATTACATTGGCAATTGAATTTCCACATGAGTTTTGGAGAGGACAAACATTCAAACCATAGCAGGCAGGCAGACTAAGTTCTTTCCTTCTCTAAAGATGGCAACCAGTTATTTTATAGCTGTGAAGACAGAGGAGCAGAGAAGCTCTCTGTCACCAACAGCTTGCAAGTAGGACACACTCTGCACCTCTCACCTGTCACAACTTTGCCTGGCCCAGGGAGCTCCAATAGCTTTATCAGAACTTCAGATTTTTGTAAGAGAAGTGACCAGATGTAGATGAAATTGTCCTTGACTTTCCCAATAAGTGCCCCAGCTCTTTTTACATATAAGGTGTAACTTGGCTATGTAACCTAGCTAGCAATCTCTTCAAGCTCCTATGGCTTTTTAAAAGATGAGCCAGTGAGGCTGGGCGCAGTGGCTCGAGTTTGTAATCTCAGCACTTTGGGAGGCTGAAGTGGGTGGATCACCTTAGATCAAGAGTTCAAGACCAGTCTGGCCAACATGGCAAAACCCTGTCTCTACTAAAAATACAAAAATTAGCCAGGCATGGTGGCGTGCGCCTATAGTCCCAGCTACTCGGGAGGCTGAGACAGAGAATTGCTTGAACCCGGGAGGCGGAGGTTGCAGTGAGCCGAGATCGTGCCACTGCACTCCAGCCTGGGTGACACAGCTAGACTCTCTCTAAACAAACAAACAAACAAACAAAAAACCAAAAAGATGAGCCGGTGAGCGTAAGCAAAGCCCATTAACACTGAAAGTACAGGAGAAGCATACCCACTCCACATTAATAATGCCAAAGTCTTGTCTTAAACTGTTAAAGTCTAGTAGTGTGTATATTACAAGATAGGAGTGACACTGCTCCATCCTCTGGACCCAATGGTAGAAGCCTGATATTGTGATTTATCCAAATCACACCAGTTATAGCAATGGATAGAGGAATGATCTGGGAATTTAGAGTCCTGTCCACCAACCGCATCCACAACTGCGTAAGTCATTTTATTTGTTGAACTTCAGTTTCGTCATTGGGAGAAACAAGATTGTACCAGAAGATTTTTATCAAACTTAACTGTATACTGCCAAAACACAGTACCACAAACTGGTGGCTTAAACAACAGAAATGTGCTTCACAGTTCTGGAGGCTGAAAGTCTGAAATCAAAGTGTTGGTGGGGTTGGTCCCTTCTGAGGACTGTGAGGGAGAATCTGTTCCTCGTCTCTCTCCTTGCTTCTGTAGCCTCAGGTATTCCTTGGTTTGTAGATGACTGTCTTTTCCCTATGTTTTCACATTGTACTCTCTCCATGCATGTCTGTCTCTGTCTAAATTTCCTCTTTTTTTTTTTTTTTTTGAGACGGAGTCTCGCTCTGTCCCCCAGGCTGGAGTGCAGTGGCGCAATCTTGGCTCACTGCAACCTCCGCCTCCCGGGTTCAAGCAATTCTCCTGCCTCAGCCTCCTGAGTAGCCCACCACCACACCCGGCTAATTTTTTTGTATTTTTTTTAGTAGAGATGGGGTTTTACCATGTTAACCAGGATGGTCTCGATCTCCTGACCTCGTGATCCGCCCACCTCGGCCTCCCAACGTGTTGGGATTACAGGCGTGAGCCACCGCACCCGGCCAAATTTCCTCTTTTTAAAAGGACATCAGTCACACTGAGTTACAGCCTGCCCTAGTGACCTCATCTTAACTTGATCATCTGAAAAGACCCCATTTTCAAATAAAGCCACCTTCATAGGTACTGGGGGTTGGTATGTCAACATCTTTTGGTAGGGACAGCTTTCAATCCATACACTAACTTTCTTAAAAAAAAAAAAAAAAAGAAAGAAGAATATATGTGAACCTAAAAGTAAACAGGAACATCTACCAAGAGGAGCGGGAATGAGTGTTGGTAGGTGGGTAGGAGACCACAGTT
Organism: Homo sapiens; assembly: GCF_000001405.40. Lineage (NCBI taxonomy): Eukaryota > Metazoa > Chordata > Mammalia > Primates > Hominidae > Homo > Homo sapiens. Next base: position 70,842,618 of record NC_000014.9, read on the forward strand.
GCCCACCTAGCCTGATCTCTGCCTAACTGCAGGTGTTCTACAGGCTCCTTCCATAGAGATGACAGGATGCATGGAAGGAAGAGCACCCTGGAAGGAAAACACACAGTTCCAGAGGCCTCTTCAAACAGTACCAGTAATGCATACATAGAAGTGCAAAGGTGTGTACAGATTTATTTGTTCCCTATAGATACAGAGCCAGCAGTACTTAAGCACATAAATCCAGCTTTTCATCAATGAGAAGCCAAATGAGTCTCTCATTCATTTATTACTGGATCCACCTGTCTATATAAAGCCCATCTTCATTTTGCCTGCTTGGTAAAAAAGGAAACTCTCATTGGCTCACCTAGCTCTTAGACTATAAGAAATAAAGTCTGAATCTTTCATGAGCTGCATGTCTAGGCCAGAACCCAGAAAATGGACTGTGTCCTGACCAAAGGTCAGTTATTTTCTGCCTTTGCCTTTCACTAGCATTTTACCTTGGCCTTTTTTTGCTCCCATCCTATGTGAATTTCCCATGCCTCTCCTCAGACACACACTCTCTGTAGAGAGATGCAAAATCTTTATGGAGTAACAACCTTTGTAACAATGAAAAAATTCCTCCCCTGATGACTTGGGACAGATTGGAGCCAAACCATTTCCTTCAGTCCCTGAGCACATTGTTTCCCTCCAGTGACTTCTGCAATCCAGAAACAGCTGCAAATTCCAGTAAAACAATGTTCTGATCCAATCCCTCAAGCCATCTTTACCCTTTTGTTTTTCTCTCTGGAGGGAGGAAAGAAAAAATATTTGAAAACCTGCCATGGTGCGTTATTTCCAAGCGTCTGTTGATGGAGGTGTGAGCCAAGAAGCCCTTTTTATTGGAGGAAAGAAGGAGAGAGTAAAAATGGAAGCAAGGGAGATATGAAAAAATGATGGAAAAGGGCATGGAGAAACATCTCAGAGAGTGGAATAAAGTTATGCAATGGAAAAAAAATGAGCAAAAACATTGCCTATACAATGCAACTGAAATGTGCTCAATTCAGGTTTTAGCTCACCTCTGGCTAAAGGTAAGTGAGCTTACCCTGGCTCACTTTGGGTAAGCCAGGAAGCCAGTCTATCTCAACATTTAATTTGGGCAATTTTTACATGAAACTAACCCATAAGAGAACATCAGGATATATTAAAATGATGCTGTGGCCAGGCATAGTGGCACATACCTGTAGTCCTAGCTACTTGGAAGACTGAGGTGGGAGGATTCCTTGGGCCCAGGAGTTTAAGGCTGCAGTTAACCGTAATTACACCTGTGAACAGACACTGTACTCTACTCTGAGCAACAGAGCGAGGCTCCATCTATTAAAAAATAAAATAAAGGATACAGTGAATTGAAAATGCATGAAGGTATGTTTCACAAAATGATTTACAGGAATACTCTTGTAATTTGCAACCTTCACAATACACTTAAATGGTGTATCAATTTATAAAGCTACCTTTTAATTTATCTTACAAATTAAAGTTTATAAAATTGCCCTTTCAGATTCATTTCTACCTCTTCTCATTTCTTGCTGTAACTACGGGACTGGTCTTTTCAGATGGAATCAATGCTCGCCCTCTAGCTTCTGGTTGGGGTTAGCTAACAGGAAGAATCACCAGGAGATTGAAGAGCGGAGAAGTTGAGATTGGGGTATTTATTACTATGGCTCCCTCCCTGATGGGTCACCATGGGTTGGTTGCTTCCCTTTACTGAAGATCACAGCTCCTGAAAGAGGGGTGTGTCCCTCCCTCTTCATGCAGCTATGCTCTGTTCCTTCCCCTTTCCCCTGCATGTTTTGGAGGCATGGGTAACCAAACCCTACTGTTGCTAGAACCCAGGGTACTGCATTTTTCTCTTCCAATTCCCTAAACCTCACCCACATCTTTGTGTGTGTGTGTGTGTGTGTGTGTGTGTGTGTGTGATGGAGTCTTGCTCTGTCGCCCAGGCTGGAGTACAGTGGTGTGATCTCGGCTCACTGCAACCTCCACCTCCCAGGTTCAAGTGATTCTCCTGCCTCAGTCTCCCGAGTGCTGGCACCAGCCACCACGCCTGGCTAATTTTTTGTATTTTTAGTAGAGAGGGGGTTTCACCATATTGGCCAGGCTGGTCTCAAACTCCTGACCTTGTGATCCACCCACCTCAGCCTCCCAAAGTGCTGGGATTATAGGCGTGAGCCACTGTGCCTGGCCCACCCACATCTTTATAAATAAATTAGTCCCTTAAACTCACCTTAATTATCTAGTTTGTGTGTGCTCTACGCCTGATTTTTTCCTTCACCTAGACTATAAGTCCCTTGAGTGCAGTCTTATAGGATGTTTCGTGTGTTCTCAAAACATCTAGCATGGTCCCAAAACTTCCAGCATGATACAGAGCAAAGCTTTGTCATTCACAGTGTTGATGATCTGAAGAAAGTTCCTTCATTTAGTCTGCCTTCTTTCCAAAGTCACACATGCAGACCTATTTAGTGAACTCTTCATGATTCCATCTATTCACACAAAGTCAGCCCATCATTTTTACCCAATACCTGTGTTTAATGGGATTTTGCTGCTATGGAAAGTAGTGTGATGTAATGGAAACAGCAGGGGGTTTGGAGCCTCACTGACCCAGGCTCAACTTCTAGGTCTGCTACCTTCTAGTTGGGTAACAAGGAAAAGCTGCTTAAAGTTCCCAAGAACCACTGACATTATATACGAATGTGAGATGAAGAATTATCACGTCTCTGCCTCCTTCTCCCTCTTGCTTCTTCTCATCTTTACCAGAGTGGCCAACTTGTGTCTTTTGTCCTTAATTTAAACACAATGGCCAGTGGTATAATGAAGCCAGGCTCCTGAGGAAGAGGGGATAGAAAAGAAAGGAAAGGAAAATATTAGAAGGTTTAGACATTGGCAGCATGGACCAGGCTTATGATAAATATTTAAATATGATTTTTGGAGACATGAAAGAAATTATGATACTTAAAGAAGCTGATGAGGAAACACATGAGGAAGTGTAAAAAAATGAGCAAGAGACCAGCACAGTGGCCTGTAATCCCAGCACTTTGAGAGGCTGAGGCAGGAGGATGGCTTGAGGCCAGGAGTTAGAGACTAGCCTGGGCAACATAGGGAGAACTTGTGCTACAAAAAAATGAAATATTAGCCAGACACGGTCGGGTGCACTTGTGGTTCCAGCTACTTGTGAAGCTGAGGAGGAGGATCACTTGAACCTAGGAGAGTGAGGCTGCAGTGAGCCATGATTACACCACTGCACTCCAGCATGGGTAACAGAGTGAGACTCTGTCTCTTAAAGAAGAAGTGAACAAGCTGGACTATTCCAATGCTGCTTGTCTGAAGCAATGGTGCTGTAGTCATAGTCTTTTCATTGAGAGCTGGCTGAAACAAAGAATTTATCCAATGTAGAAACTAGGACACTAAGTAGAGAACATGTTCAAAAGAGAAATGTAGTAGGCTGGGTGCAGTTGCTCACGCCTGTAATCCCAGCACTTTAGGAGGCCAAGTCGGGTGGATCACTTGAGGCCAGAAGTTTGACACCAGCCTAGCCAACATGGTGAATCCCCGTCTCTACTAAAAATACAAAAATTAGCTAGGCATGGTGGCGTGCACCTGTAATCCCAGCTACTTGGGAGGCTGAGGTGGGAGAATTGGTTGAACCCGAGAGGCAGAGGTTGCAGTAGGCAGATATCATGCTGCCGTACTCTAGCCTGGGCAACAGAGTGAGACACTGTCTCAAAAAAAAAAGAAAGAAAGAAAGAAAAGAAATATAGTAAATGATCACGATTCCTTCCGCCCTTTAAATGAGGTCATTTGTAAGTAATTCATAAATTCACACCAAAATGGAATTTAAAATTTTCCAACTCCACCAATAAAGTGAGTACCATTATGCAGAACTCATGGAACAAGGTGATTTACTCTTAACATTTTCTTTATAGATAAATACTCCAGTTACCTTTGTGGGGTGGGGAAAGCACCCCTGCAAGGCACACCTGGTGTGGACTAAAAGACAACCTATGGGAAGAGGACAGGAATGTTTGCACCATGCGGCGCTGGGCTCAGAGTGTCTCCATCATTGGCTATGGCTGAGTGTGTTCTTTCAGGCAATGGCCAAGCTGCATGCCTACCTAACTGGTGTGGAGAATCACAGCCGGGTCACAGCTTAGGATTAGAGTACCTTCTTCAACAGGTTGCTACGAGGCCACTCAGTGAGACAATATAAACAAAGCAGCAAGTACTCAGCATATAGTGGGCACTCCATATATGCTTTTTATTATTTTTTGTAGGGGTTTAGAGCCTGTATTCAATTTAGTTAAAAGGATTTTTTTTTTTGAGACGGGGTCTCTCTCTGTTGCCCAGGCTGAAGTGCAGTGGCATAATCTTGGCTAACTGCAACCTCAGCCTCCTGGGTTGAAGTGATCCTCATGCCTCTGCCTCCCTAGCAGCTTGGATTACAGGTCCCTGCCATGACACCTGGCTAATTTTTGTATTTTTAGTAGAGATGGGGTTTCACCATGTTGGTCGGGCTGGTCTCAAACTCCTGGCCTCAAGTGATCTGCCCACCTCAACCTCCCAAAGTGTTGGGATTACAGCCTCAACCTCCCAAAGTGTTGGGATTACAGGCGTGAGCCACTGCACCCAGCTGAAAGGATGTTTTTCTAATTTGGAAAATCATTATGGTTGACGTTCTTCTAATTGGTCATGCCAACTATGCAATGACCCCACAGGGTTATTTTCGACCCCCTTCCGCTTACCAGGCCTTGGATCCATAATAAGCAATGAAAAGGATCTGACAATGCTGAAGATCAAATGGTACAATGGCGTTCCAGTACACAAACATTTAAGTTGCTGGAATTCAACTATATGCTCAGCAAAAGGAAATAATACAGATGAATATATACATATATATGTAATTTTCCCCCCTACAATATGGCTCTTAAATTCAAGCCAACTACTTCATCTGGTACTCAACCAAAGAAACAGCCATGGCCATCTGTTCCAACTCTGGAGGGAAAACTGGCTATGTTGAGTTTACTGAGAGATGGCACAGAATACATAAAACTCTGTAATCTGTTGTATGTGGGTGATGAAAGGGACTTTTAATGGTAATTTTTTTCCATACATGAGTTTTGTCACACATGTTGACTTTAGAACTCAAACTCCAAGCACATGCAACACCACTGCTACACACTATTATGTGTCATTTCAAGTTGTCAGGCTCAAGCATACATGAAAAATGACTCCTAACACAATCCATACTACTCGAAGACTAATTTGGGGACTGTTTAGGCAGCCTCCTAGCTGCAACAGCTGCATTACCATGTTCCCTTGAATAAATTCCTTCTGTCAATACTGGCATTGTTGACATCTTGAATTATTTATTTTAAAACATACTTACTTACTGAGCATCTACTAACCCACTAGGCCTTGTGCTCAGTTCTAGGGATACAGGAGTGAATAAAACAGGCTCGGTCTCTGGTCTCAAGGAGTTCACATTCTAGGAGAATTATCAGATACATTGATCAATTAATCACACAAATTTATGACGTTTATGAAGTTTTTCAACAAATATTTATTAAGAGCTAACTATGTGCCAGGCATTGTACTAAGCACTGGAGCTAATACTGTCAAAAAGACAAATAAAACAAGAGAGATCAAAACCTCTCTTGCAGACCGCGCGCGGTGGCTCATGCCTGTAATCCCAGCACTTTGGGAGGCCGAGACGGGTGGATCACGAGATCAGGAGATCGAGACCATTCTGGCTAACACGGTGAAACCTCGTCCCTACTAAAAATACAAAAAAAATAGCCGGGCGTGGTGGCAGGCGCCTATAGTCCCAGCTACTTGGGAGGCTGAGGCAGGAGAATGGCGTGAACCCGGGAGGCGGAGCTTGCAGTGAGCCAAGATCGCGCCACTGCACTCCAGCCTGGGGGACAGAGCGAGACTCCGTCTCAAAAAAAAAACACAAAAAAAAACCTCTCTTGTAGGAAGGTTACGTTCTATTATAGAAGATAGAAAATAAACAAGATAAATATGTAAACTCTATGGTATGGCAGATATTTATAAAACCGGAGGAGAAAAAAAAAAACAACAAGAAAGGGGGATTTTAAACTGGGGAGGAGGCCGGGCCCAGTGGTTCACGCCTGTAATCCCAGCACTTTGGGAGGCCAAGGCGGGCAGATCACTTGAGGCCAGGAGTTCAAGACCAGCCTGGCCAACATGGCGAAACCCCATCTCTAGTAGAAATTAAAAAAATTAGCCAGGCGTGGTGGCAGGCACCTGTAGTCCCAGCTACTCAGGAGGCTGAGGCAGGAGAATCACTTGAACTTGGAGGCAGAGGCTGCAGGGAGCCAAGATTGCGCCACTGCACTCCAGCCTGGGCAACAAGAGCGAGACACCACCTAAAAAAAAAAAAAAAAAAAAAAAGGAAAATGTAACAGACCAGATGATGCAATGCTTAGTAAATCAGAGTAAGGACTGGCTTCTCCTGGGTGTGTCAAAGGAGACTATTGAGGAATTTTGAGCAAAGGAGCAACATAATCTGTCATATATACTAACAGAAACATTCTGACCTGTGATGAAAATAGGCTGCAGACAGCCAAGGGCAAACGTAAAGAATCTGATGAGGAGACCATTGCAATTATTTTTGGCAAAATATCATGAGGGCTTAGACAAATAGGGGTGGTAAAAAGTGGTTGAATTCTAGATATATTTTGAAGGTAGAGCAGACAGGATTTGCTGGCAAACTGAAAGTGGTTAGGGAGAGAAAGAAAAGAAGCAAGGATAGTACCCAGGTCTTTGCCCTGAGCAATTGGAAAGATATAATTGCCATTAACTGAAATAGAGAAGGAGCTAGTTTCAGAGGGAGGGGTGAACTTGTCTGGGCCTTAATTGTGAGTTGCCTATTTTAGACATCCTAATAGAGATGTCCTATAGGGTATAAATGAGTCTGGAGTTCAGAGGAGATATACATTAGAAAGTTATGAGAATAGAGATGGTATTTAATGCCATGAATCTGGATGAGACCACCAAGGCATTGAGCATGGAGGGAAGAGATCGAATTCTGGGGACTCCAACATTTAGAGGTCAGGGATATGAGAAGAAATCAGCAAAAAGAACTGAGAAGGATCAGCCAGAATTGCAGAGAGATAACCAGTTAGTGTGGTTTCTTGGAGGCCAAGAGAAGAAAGTGTATCAAAAAAGAGTGGTAGATAAACTGTCAAATTTTGATTGGCATTATTTGGCAAAGGTATAGGATTCATCCATGAAAGTGGATAAAAGGACACAATTTAGATTGAGTACTCAGGAAAGTGGCACTTATATTGAAGATTACAAAGAAAGAAGGCCAGTGACAATCACCGATGCAGTTTTCTTCCTTCCCAAAGTCATCCTTGCTTCATCCCAATGATGTCTCTGCTCAGTTGCAGGTGCAATCCGTATTTGGACCTATAAGGGACTTTATCTCTCACAGCCACCATCCTGATAGCTGAGCAAGGAGGAGACTCGGAGGATGGGAGTAAGGATGGAGGAAGAGAAGAGCTCAAAATGACTTCCCCAAATAGGATATATGAAACAGCCAACTCCCTTCTCAATATTGCAGTTGCTTGGATATGATTTCTGGCAGTGAGAACCCATTAGGCCCCACAAGTAAGACATTGTCTCCTATGCTCATGCAGGGGTTCCTGGGGCTGGGAAGAGGAGAAAATGGAAAGTTGTTTAATGGGTACAGAGTTTCAGTTCTGCAAGATGGAAAAGTTCTGGAAATCTATTGCAAACAATGTGCAGACGCTTAACACTAATGAACTGTACCCTTAAAAATTATAGACATGGTACATTTTATGTGCGCTTTTTTAACCACAGTTGAAAATTTTTTTTGAAGAGGCTGAAGTTTGCTGATTTTCTTTGAGACTTACTGCATCACTCAGTATCAGAAAATCTAAAAACAGGGGGACTGTGCAACTGATGAAACCAAATCCCTCATTATGGTGTGTTTCTGTGTTAGACACCATAATCCCAAATTGCACAGGTCTGCCTTTCCTTAAAGGATGTAACTGACTGGACTAAGTTGTGTAGGAATCCAATTAGAAAAATAAACCAGTACTATTAACTATCTGAAAATCAGGAAAAGAATGTGGCATGTGTATTACAGGGTTTGGATTACTAAAGCACGCAGTAGATAAATCGAAGGGAGGTAAACTCCAAGGGAGAACCCAGAAGGATGAGCTTTGCTTTTTTTTTTTTTTTTTAATCTGTTTTACATATTAAGCTAACACGATTTCTTTTTTTAAAAAAGTGTTCCTGGTCAGAAAACCACTGCCCTGGAGGTCATCTATAAGGAGTGAGATTCCTAGAGACTTTCCTTCTAGTTTATAAATGTATTAAAAATTTTTCACTTTTACAAGTTGCTATTACTCTTGTAGTCAGATATAATAATAAATTGAAATGATTTTTTTTTGAGATGGAATTTCACTCTTGTTGCCCAGGCTAGGGTGCAATGGCACGATCTTGGCTCACTGCAAACTCTGCATCCCAGGTTCAAGTGATTCTCCTTCCTCAGCCTCCCAAGTAGCTGGGATTACAGGTGTCTGCCACCATGCCCAGTGAATTTTTTTGTATTTTTACTAGAGACGGAGTTTCACCATGTTGGCCAGGTTGGTCTCGAACTCCTGACCTCAAGTGATTCGCCTGCCTCAGCCTCCCAAAGTGCTGGGATTACAGGCATGAGCCACCATGTCTGACCTGAAATGATTTTTTTTTAATTTCCAGTTTTATTTTACATACAGGGGCTACATGTGCAGATCTGTGAGAGTGGAGCTAATTTCAGAGATCAGTGCTGGGGAATAAATAGAGAGGTAAATGGAACATGGGAATATTGCATGATGCTGACTTTTGTAGAATGGATCTTGTTACCCTGGTAGTGAGTATACCCAATAGGTAGTTGCTTAACCCAACCCCTCCATCTCCCCGCTATAGTAGTCCACAGTGTCTATTATTCCCATATTTATGATTATGTGTGCTTAATGCTTAGCTCCCACTTATAAGTGAGAACAGATCTATTTGGTTTTCTGTTTTTGCATTAATTTGCTTAGGATTGTGGCTTCCAGCTCCATCCATGTTGCTGCAAAGGACATAATTTTATTCTTTTTTACGGATGTGTAGGATTCCATGGCATATATGTACCACATTTTCTTTATCTAATCTACCATTGATGGGCACCTGGGTTGATTCCATGTCTTTGCAGTGATGAACATGTGTCTTTTTGTTAGGATGATTTATTTTCTTTAGGGTATGTAGCCAGTAATGGGACAGCTGGGTCAAATGGTCAAACGGTAACTCTGTTTTAAGTTATTTGAGAAATCTCCAGTCTGCTTTCTACAGTGACTGGACTAATTTACACTTCCACCAACAGTGTATATGCATTCCCTTTTCTCCACAGCCTTACCAGCATGTTGTTTTTTGGCTTTTTAATAATAGCTATTCTGACTGGTGTGAGCTGATATCTAACTGTGGTTTTGATTTGCATTTCTTTAATGACTAATAATGCTGAGCATTTCTTCATATGTTTGTTGGCCACTTGTACGTCTTCTTTTGAGACACATCCTTTGCCCATTTTTAATGGGGTCATTTGTTTTTTACTTGTTGATTTGTTAGATTAGGCCTTTGTCAGACACATGGTTTGTGAATATCTTCTCCCATTCTATAGATTGTGTGATTTGAAACGATTTTTAAGATAAGAAATCTACTTTCTAGGCAGTGTAATGCTGAGGGCATATTGCCTCCTATATTTTTGTGTTTACAGTCCTTGGCCTGCATTCTTGCACATTGTAGACCACAATTCCTAAAAAGCCTTGCATTCAGCATGAATACATTTATTTTCTAAGAGGATGAAAAATTAGAGTAACAATTTTAAATAACCATTATTAGAAGTCAGGTGTAAAACACATGTGATTGTTAATTTTGAATTAGAAATTGAAGATCTCTCTTCTATATCCAGGATTATTCTCAAGGGGTTCCTTGCTGATCCAAGTGTGATGGGCTGAATAGGTCCCCAGGTCCCCAATTCACATGTTGAAGTCCTAATCCCCAGTACCTCAGAATGTGACTGTACTTGGAGATAGAGTCTTTTAAAAAGTAATGAGGCTAAAATGAGGTCATTAGGGTGAGACCTAATCTAATATGACTGGGGTCATAAGAAGAGGTTAGGACACAGAGGAAAGTCCATGTGAAGACATAGGAAGAAGACAGCCATCTGCAAGCCAAGGAGAGAGACCTTGGAAAAAAACAATCCTGCCAGCATCTTGATCTAGGACTTCTAGCCTCCACAATTGTAAGAAATACATTTTTGCTGTGTAGGTCATCTAATCTATGGTAGTTTGTTATGATAGCCCTAGCAAACTAATATACCAAGTATTTTCAAGTTTTGTTTTGTTTTTTGAGATGGAGTCTCACTCTGTCACCCAGGCTGGAGTGCAGTGGCATGATCTCGGCTCACTGCAACCTCCACCTCCCAGGTTCAAGCGATTCTCCTGCCTCAGCCTCCCAAGTAGCTGGGATTACAGGTGCCCTCCACCACGCCCAGCTAATTTTTAGTAGAGACAGGTTTTCACCATGTTGGCCAGGCTGGTCTCGAACTCCTGATCTCAAGTGATCCACCCACCTTGGCCTCCCAAAATGCTGATATTACAGGCGTGAGCCACCACGCCCAGCCCCAAGTATTTTTTTAAACTGCATAGAATGGGCCTATTTTCATGTCATTTGTGTACAAAGAATTGCAAAATTAGTATTCAAAAGAAAGACTTGTATTATATTGTTGGGTGGCTCTAAAGCCTTAGGTCAAAGTGTGGCTTAAAACAATACACCCTAAAAAGGCTCATCCATAATGTCAGAGAAAACACCTGAACTGCCTTAGGCTTTGTCTCAGTGTCTGCCCAAATTCTACCTCCACTGGTGGATGTTCAAAACCCATCCTATATTTTACAAGGTAGCAGAGAATAGTGTGCTAATGACTGGAATGAGATAGACTTGGATTTGAATGCCAGCTCCATGACTTTACTGGCTACATGATCTTGGGCAAGTTAATGTAATTGTATAAGCCTCCACTCCCTTATCTATAAAATAAGACTCCACTCCCTTATCTATAAACTAAGACTTGGTCAAAGTGTCAGAGGCATTTGAACCAGAGCAACTCCATCTTGAATAGGAGCTGGGTAAAATAAGGCTGAAACCTACTGGCCTGCATTCCCAGATGGTTAGGCATTCTAAGTCACAGGATGAGACAGCAGGTCGGCACAAGATACGGGTCTTTCCCTTGCTGATAAAACAGGTTGCAGTACAGAAGCTGGCTTAAACCCACCAAAACCAAGATGGCCATGAGAGTGACCTCTGGTCGTCCTCACTGCTACACTCCCACCAGCACCATGACAGTTTACAAATGCCATGGCAACATCAGGAAGTTACCCTATATGATCTAAAAAGGGGAGGCATGAATAATCCACCACTTGTTTAGCATATAATCAAGAAATAACCATAAAAACAGGCAACCAGCAGCCCTCGGGGCTGCTCTGCCTATGGAATCGCCATTCTTTTATTCCTTTACTTTCTTAATAAACTTACTTTCACTTTATTGACTCACCCTGAATTATTTCTTTTTTTTTTTTTTTTTGAGACGGAGTCTCGCTCTGTCGCCCAGGCTGGAGTGCAGTGGCGGGATCTCGGCTCACTGCAAGCTCCGCCTCCCGGGTTCACGCCATTCTCCTGCCTCAGCCTCCCGAGTAGCTGGGACTACAGGCGCCCGCCACCACGCCCGGCTAATTTTTTGTATTTTTAGTAGAGACGGGGTTTCACCGTTTTAGCCGGGATGTTCTCGATCTCCTGACCTCGTGATCCGCCCGCCTCGGCCTCCCAAAGTGCTGGGATTACAGGCACCCTGAATTATTTCTTGCATGAGATCCAAGAACCTTGTCTTGGAGTCGGAATTGGGATAACAAAAGGACACAAAATTTCATTTGGACAGAAGGAATAAGTTCACAAGATTTATTGTACAACATGGTGACTACAGTCAATAACAATGTACTGTATTCTCGAAAATCACTGAGAGTAGATTTTAAGTGTTCTCACCACAAAAAAGTATGAAGTATGTGAAGTAATGCATATGTTAATTAGTTCCATTCAGCCAGTCTACATTGTGTAAATATTTCAAAACATCATGTTAAAAATAAATAAATAAATAAATAAAACAAAATGGGAATCATGATAGGACCTAACTTTAGGGCCTTTATGAGGATTGAGAAGGATGATGGTGTAAAGCTTTTAGTACAGTATTTTAATTTTTTTTATTTTTCTAGAATCTGGCTTATTGTTGATAGAACAGTATTTATCATTTAAGTTTTTTTGTATCTCTCACCTCTAGAGATGGAGAAGAAATTGCTAAGGAGTACAAAAATTTAAACATTATTAAATTTAAATAATCCTTTTTAACTTAATGAGACTAAAGGGAAAAGACAGACATAAGCCAATTATAAGGCCAAGTCATTTTAGTGGCCTGATTTATGGGGCGCAGAGCTTCGCATGCCTACATTACCCTCAATTTTCTCAAATTGAACACGTATTAATCTTTCAGATAGCATCTTTTGTCGAAACTTGGAGTTATGAATGGCCCTCACCATATTGATGCTTTCTTACTGAGCTCCTCTCTACCTTGCACAAAAGAGACCCTAATAGTTAGGCAGGAATATTACTGCCCCTATTCAGCCTGAAGAAGTTACGAAAGATGGATCTTCATCCCTCTGCAACCTTTAGGATTAAGGGTTCTCTTATAAAAGGGAGGGAGGAAATGTCAGGGTGTTTGAACCAGAGCAACTCTATCTTGAATAGGGGCTGGGTAAAATAAGGCTGAGACCTACTGGGCTGCATCCGCAGACAGCTAAGGCATTCCAAGTCATGGGATGAGATAAGAGGTCGGCACAAGATGCAGGTCATAAAGACCTTGCTGATAAAACAGGTTGCAGTGAAGAAGACGGCCAAAACCCACCAAAACCAAGATGGTGATGAGAGTGACCTCTGGTGGTCCTCACTGCTACACTCCCACCAGCGCCATGATAGATTACAAATGCCATAGAAACATCAGAAAGTTACCCAATATGGTCTAAAAAAGAGAGGCACGAATAACTATGCTAAGGAGAGGCATAATAACTATGCTAAATACCCCTTGTTTAGCATAGAATCAAGAAATAACTATCAAAATGGGCAACCAGCAACCCTCAGGGCTGCTCTGCCTATGGAGTAGCCATTTTTTTATTTCTTTATTTTCCTGATAAATTTGCTTTCACTTTACTCTGTGGACTTGATCCAAACTTTCTTGCACGAGATCCAAGAACTCTCTCTTGGGGTCTGGATCAGGACACCTTTCCAGTAACAAAAGGAAGCCTAACATGACTAGCTCCATTTTGCTCCTAACCTCCCCATGCCCATAGTGATATCTTTTGGGTTAACTACTTTTATTTATCTTTGTACATAGGCTGAGTTAACTATGGGAGGAATTTAATTTATAGCCTAACTTTTTAAAGGGAAGGATGATGATAGTCCCTTCTCAAAACTAATCTTTAAGAAGATAAAGAAGTGTACACACAAGTAACAATGTTATGTTAAAGATGTATAGGAGCATTTTGACCTGACCAAGGGCAAAGAAGCTTCACAACCCCCCAACTTGGACCCTAACTGCCACCCAGGTATCTATGATCATCAGTCACCTCTTGATCTCAACTGAAGGCTCTCTAATTCTCCTTTCCTCTAACATAAAAAAGCCTAAAATTCTATTAACTTAAGATGGTTATTTTGGACACTAGTCTGCCATCTTGGCTTGCTGGTTCTCTGAAATAAAGTTACTTTCCTTGCCCCAACACCATGTCTTTTGACTAATGGGCTTCGTGTGGCAAATGGTATGAGCTTTGGATTCAACTGCAAGAATCCATGCACCTCTTTGGATCTTATATGTTTGGAAACTTTATGGTTAATTATCTTTAACTCCTGGTCTATACCATATATTAATAGCATAGGCTGATTAAGAGCAGCATGTCCTTGTTGACCCAGGAGGTTTTGTCATTCTTAAAACTACTGATTTTAGACCAAACTATATAGAAATTCATTCCAGATATATTTAACAGATAATATTAACAAAGCGAAAACGAATTAAAAGAGGTTTACTACCATGGAAAATCACAGTCAATTAAAAGTAAATACCTGAACTTATTTCCATATTTGAAGAGTTACATTCCAAGATTCCAAGATTCTTCCTGCTGTGCTGGGGCCACTACATCAGCCCTAAACTCATCAGTGAGGAAGGGAATGTGGTGAAGGATGAGTTTGGTTAAGGATGTGGGCGCATGATCTACTTGTCTGTGGTTTGTTCCTACAGGCAGTAGAGATGGGTGCATAGTGATGAGTCAGTGACCATTCATTCAACAGGCATATACAAAAGGCACTGATGATATTAGACCAATAAGGCACAACCCTTGTTCTCAAATTCACAGTCTATTCCAAGACTCTGCTGTTCAAATGTAGTCCTTAGATGAGCAGCATGGACATTGATTGGAAGCTTTTTAGAAGTGCACAATCTCAGGCCCCACCCCAGACCTACTGAATCAAAATCTACATTTTAGAAATAACTCCAGATGATTCATATAAGTAGTAAAGTCTCAGACGTACTGTTCCAGGACAGACACATAAACAAGTACAGGTTATTTCTGGTGTAACATCTTATATGCAATCCTACAAAACTCACATACTGCAAGATTGTGCACTAAAATAACAGAGTCTATGGTGGAAATTGGTTAAGGGCAGACTTCTGAAAACCTACAAAATTTTGAATCCAGAGCACTAACAAAAACAATCACAATTCTAATAAAAACAATAGTTAAATCTACTGGTATTTGTATCTAGTATCAGTCAATTCTTTGCTGTCTTCAACCTGCAGGATTCAGACTTCCTCCTTTGAGACATAATGTCAGAGGCATTTGAACCAGAGGAACTCCATCTTGAGTAGGGACTGGGTAAAATGAAGCTAAAACCCTATGGGGCTACATTCCCAGACTGTTAGACATTCTAAGTCACAGAAAGAGGTAGGAGGTCAGCACACGATACAGGTCATAAAGACCTTGCTGATAAAACAGTTTGCAGTAAAGAATCAGGCCAAAACCCAGCAAAACTAAGATGGCAATGACAGTGACCTCTGGTTGTCCTCGCTGGTACATTTCCATCAATGCCATGACAATGTACAAATGCCATCGCACCGTCAGGAAGTTACCCTATATGGTCTAAAAGGGGAGGCATGAATAATCCATCCCTTGTTTAGCATATAATCAAGAAATAACCATAAAAATGGGCAACCAGCAGCCCTCAGGGCTGCTCTGTCTAAGGAGTAGCCATTCTTTTATTCCTTTACTTTTTTTATTTGAGACGGAGTTTCGCTCTTTTTGCCCAGGCTGGAGTGCAATGGCGCGATCTCGGCTCACCACAACCTCCGCCTCCCAGGTTCAAGTGATTCTCCTGCCTCAGCCTTCCGAGTAGCTGGGATTACAGGCATGTTCCACCACGCCTGGCTAATTTTGTATTTTTAGTAGAGATGGGTTGTCTCCGTTTTGGTCAGGCTGGTCTCGAACTCCTGATCTCAGGTGATCCGCCCACCTGGGCCTCCCAAATTGCTGGGATTACAGGCATGAGCCACCGAGCCCGGCCTTATTCCTTTACTTTCTTAATAAACTTGCTTTCACTTTATGCTATGGGCTTGCCCTGAATTATTTCTTATGCAAGATCTGAGAACCCTCTCTTAGGGTCTAAGTGAGGACCCCTTTCCTGTAACAATAAGACCTAGATATTAGTATTTTATTTGTTAAAAGAAAATTTTTAGGGGGAGAATTTAAAGAGTTTAATTTTTTCCTAGAACAAGATCAACAGTTTTCACTGAGATAAAAGAATAAAGAACAACAAACTCAATAACACCAAATGGGTTTTTGATACAGAAAACAGGGCCGCTCCATTCAAATGCAAATTTTTACATTAAAATATGTTTATAAACCATAGTTGTTGTTCCCCCTGATTCAACACTTCTCCGTCCTCTAACGGGAGCCCCAGGAACTTGAAGAGCATGTGCACTACTAACTAGATACACAATCCAGCCGCCCCTTCCAAGCTGGAATCTGATTACTACTGGACTAGACTCAGGGCTGCCCCCAAGGGATGGAAAGCAGTAACTATGGACTCAGAGAGAATGGCTACTGAGGATCCCACCAAAGAGTTGAACGCTGTGCACTGGGTCCAGTGCAGTTTCCCACCACTATGAACAGGAGAACCTTGGAATACCAGTCTTGATGATGCTGCCTGTCCTTGCTCACACTGATAGTAAACAGGGTAAATATTATTCTCATGGCAATTGGAATAAAAATGAAATGGAGAATGGTGACCTGCAGTGGGCAGCAGTCCTGGTCTGTGTTGGTATGAACATGTTCATGCTGAAAAGGAGGCTGCAATCCCCCCATACAGTTGCTCTGTGACCTAGGGGACTGTTTCTTGAACTTGAAGTTGAATTCTTAAATTGGTTCCTGTCTGTTCCCAACTGGAAGTGTTTTCTGGAATGATTGGATTCTCAGAGACTCGAGCAACAAATGGCTCATACATATGCTACAGAGATCAGATCACACAAGCTTGGAGACAATGTAGTTTCTCCACTGACTCTGGTGGCAGGTGCAAAGGCAGGAAGCATCCAGAGGGGAATGCCTTCGGTACAACCTGGTCCAAAAACTAGCCGTGCAAGTGACAGGAGCTCAGTGCAAAACAATACATTTATTTAACAATTCCCTTCTTTTGCTCGGGTTCTCTCCTAGGTCAGAGTGTGACCAAAATCTAAGGCTTTAGAGCACCACTTTCAATTACCATCATTTCGGTTTCTCGTCTCAGCATGTCATTCATAGGTTATGGTATCCTCATGATCATGCATTTCTTTGAGTTTTGTCATTCTAGCCAAAGAGTAACAATTTGACATTCTACAAATGGCTGCATGTTAGCAAACATTTAAAACTTTTGAGAGAATACAGTGCACCAAGGTGACCACTGTCATCGGGAGGATAATACCAACAGTTTGCAGATGCCCCTTAGCTAGGGTCCCCATGAGCTAAACAAACAAAAATCAAATAAATCAAAGAATAAACCAGATGAAGAGTGTACCTATTTTAACCAAGCGGCCTGTTCATTAATCCTCTGCAAATGAGTCTCTATAATACCCAGCATATTCATCCATGTGCAAAACGTGTCAGCAACTGCACGATTTCTCCCTATTCAGCCAGTAGGGAATCTAGAGCAATTCTATTATCTAGTACAACTTTAGCAAGAGAATTTAAAGTCTGTTATGCAACCATAGCCTTTGCAATAGAATCTGCTATAGAGATGATTATAAGGAATTTCCTTCCTTCCTTCCTTCCTTCCTTCCTTCCTTCCTTCCTTCTTTCTTTCTTTCTTTCTTTCTTTCTTTCTTTCTTTCTTTCTTTCTTTCTTCTTTCTTTTTCTTTCTTTCTTTCCTTCTTTGAGACAGGGTCTTGCTCAACCTCCCAGGCTCAAGCAATTCTCCCTACCTCAGTCTCCCAAGTGGCTGGGAGTACAGACATGTACCACCATGCCCAGCTAAAATTTTAAAATATTTTTGTAGAGACAAGGTCTCACTAGGCTGGTCTCAAACTCCTAGGCTCAAATGATCCTCCCACCTCAGCCTCCCAAAGTGTTGGGATTACAGATGTGAGCCAACACACCCAGTCAGGAATACATTTCAAATTATTGCCTCATTTATATTTACTCCAAGCCATGGAAAATAAATCTAACATTGGCCCTTCATGCTCAATCCATCAAAGGCATAAGGTTGCCCATGTGTAAAGTTGGCTGCAAAATCCTCCACAAATAAAAGTATACCCCACGGATAGACATAAGGCCCCTTTTCCAGTTCTGTTGTTCATGGATACATTACCTGGAATGGTGAAATTAGCAATTTCAAACCAAGGGCCTGAGGCAGAATTACGGGTTGAAAGAGTGCTATCATATCCTGACACATAAGTCAGTTTGCAAGAAACTCCATTTGGGCATTGGTGCAAACCTGTCTTGTGATATACTCATTGGTCATTGTTCTTGTATCCCATTATTGGATTAAATTAAAACAGGGAGTGAGAGCAAGTCGGTTTAGAAGTCTTACTACTAGTACAATTTGAACAACAGTTATGTTAGGAATGTTGCTAACATTACCCACCAGGTTAACTAAAGGATCCCTTAGGTCATGTAAAATCTGGGTTTGGCATGACAGATTCAACACTCCATGAATTTACCCATAAAAGCTACTCATTGTGAAATTCTAATTACAGCATTATCCTGCCAAGTTCAAGAGGTAGGCATACGTAAGGAAAGATTAAGAAAAATAAGAGTTTCATGATGGCAGAGAAATTTTGATTTGTGATCTTGGGGAAGCTGCTTAAGTCTAGGATACCATCTGCTTCTGGGGAGAAACTTCCCTGGTTAGCTTTACCTTAAAGTTTATAATGGGTATACAGTTCCAAGAGTTTGGGGGGGCCCTTTTTAATTTGTGAGATATGGATTCAAGTATCAAAGTCCCAAAGTTTGGCTGCAGATTGAGTGGCAAAGGCAGTCTTTTTCTGATACCATTTCCAGAAAACCAAATCTCTGGGTTCTAGATCATGAAGGATTTGAGTGCTCTTGGTCAGTGCATTCTGCAAAGCTTCCTTTACCTGGTGAAAATACACTTTGACATAATGCATCAAAGCCTCGCAACATTTAGTCATATCCGAGTTTAGGATCCTTTTATAAGGGGGTCAACTTACATTCTCCACTGTAAGTGCATCTGGCTTTTATTAATCTGCAATACCTTTTATCAATCTGCAATATCAAGGCAATCCAGTCAATTCAGTTAGCTTCACCTAAGGCTATTAAATCTGTAATACTTTATTTAACTGTTTTCCAACTTCTCCAGTGAAACAAGTACCTTTATCCCTAGAGATCTCTTCAGGAATCCCCCATGAGGAAAACACATTTTCTAATAACCTTTTAGCTACTGTTATAGAATTGGCTTCCTGCATGGGAAAACTTCTAAACCAGAAAACATGCACTGAAAATGGCAACTGAGGGCAGGCGCAGTGGCTCATGACTGTAATCCCAGCACTTTGGGAGGCCACAGTGGGCAGATCACTTGAGAAGAGGAGTTCAAGACCAGCCTGGCCAACATCACGAAACCCCATCTCTACTAAAAATACCAAAATTATCCAGGTGTGGTGGTACACGCCTATAGTTCCAGCTACCCAGAGGGCTGAGGCATGAAAATAATTTGAACCTGGAAGGCGGAGGTTGCAGTGAGCTGAGACCACTGCACTTCAACCTGGATGACAGAGCAAGACAGACGAAAGAAAGAGAGAAAGAGAGAGAGAAAGAGAGGGAGAAAGGGAGGGAGGAAGGGAGGAAGGGAGGGAGGAAGGGAGGTAGGAAGGAAGGAAGGAAGGAAGGAAGGAAAAGAAAGAGAAAGAAGACCACTATAAAGGTCCAATGGCCCATACCTAAAGTTTTGATTGTCTTCTCGGGATTATAAATTTGATAAACCAAACATTGGTCATAAACCATATCAGCAATTTTAGAACAGTCACCACACCAATGTATGTTTTTTTCATTATTTGGATTATTTTATCTCTTCCATGATGAGCCATGGAGTGCAGAGCTTTTAAAAATGAAAGCATCAAGGACTCAGGAAGGACCAGGCAGCCACCCAGGCTCTCCATGAGTCCATGCTTAAAATTGGATTTATAGTCTTTTATTTTTATTTTATTTTTTGAGGCAGGGTCTCACTCTGTCGCCCAGGCTAGAGTACAGTGGCACGATCTCAGCTCACTGCAACCTCTTCTTCCTGAGTTCAAGCGGTTCTCCTGCCTCAGCCTCCCAAGTAACTGGGATTACAGGTGTGTGCCACCACACCCAACTAATTTTTTTATTTTTTGGTAGAGACAGGGTTTCACCAAGTTGGCCGGGCTGGTCTCGAACTCCTGACCTCTGGTGATCTGCTGCCTCGGCCTCCCAAAGTGGCTGGGATTACAGGCGTGAGCCACTACACCCAGCCATTTATAGCCTTTTAAATACCAATTTTATTTCTTTAATTCAGGTACATAGCACTGTTTACTACAGTATGATAGCAATGTGCTATCATATGTAATTTGACTTGGATCATGGAGTTCCTTTAAATTGCATATCTTAACAATTTCAGTACTGGCTGACTTGTACTTTCTTGGTATTTAATTAATTCTTGTCCCGCTTAGCAGTTTTACAAACCAGTAAATCTTTTCATTAGAGGTCTGGGGGATTCTTACACAGTCTAGTGATATGAATTTAAGGCTATCAGAAGCCTGTACTTATCAGAGTCTTTCCATCCTTCTCAGTCCATTTTGCATTGCTGTGAAAGAATACCTGAGGCTGGGTAATTTAGGAAGGGGTTTATTTGGCTCAGGGTTCTGGAGGCTGTACAAGAAGCATGGCACTGGCATTTGCCCCAGTAAGAACCCCAAGAAGCTTCCAATCATGGCAGAAGGAGGAGGGTAGCTGGCATGTCACATGGCAAGAGAGGAAGAAAGAGAGAGACAGGGGAAGGATGCCATGCTCTTTTAAACAATCAGCTGTCATGTAAACTAATAGATCAAGAACTCATTTGTTACCACAGAAATGGCACCAAGCCATTCACAAGGGGTCTGCCCCCTTTACCCAAACACCTCTCATTAGGCCCCATTTCCAAAATTGGTGATCAAATTTCAACATGAGATTTGGAGGGGACAAATATCCAAACTGTAAACACCATCTTTTCCATGAACCTCTTTGAAGATATAACACTTTAGGATTACAATTGCTTTTAAAGAACATTCAGGAAAAAGTATCAGAATTAAACAATTAACTGTGGACAACAAGACTTAAGATAGTCATGGTTAAAGACACAGTTGACAAGGAAATCTGGTTATTTCTGTCACCTACAATAATTTAACATAATAATTATAATTATGACTGATAACATACCAGGACCTATCAGAATTTTAGGAAGCTCGTACAATTTTGGAAGACATATTAATGACATATCTATACAAATGTAACTCCAAAAAAGATTAAACACCACGTCTTACATGATAATACTTCTTATATAATTTAACATATCAAATAAGCCTGTTTATTATTTTCCTTTGGTATGCTTCAAGGGCCCTCTGGAATATCTCAAAGTTAGTTTGAGGTTAAAAAGACTTAATTTTGATTTTGAAATTTGATTTTGAGAAGCCTGTCAAATATGTCAAAGGTTTAGAAGGCTTGATCAAAAAAGACCATAAGTCACTGTAAAATAACAGTCACTAATTTAGCCAAAGTAATAATAAAAAGATTTTGGCTGGGTGCAGTGACTCAAACGTGTAATCCCAGCACTTTGGGAGGCCGAGGCAGGTGGGATTGCCTGAGGTCAGGAGTTCGAGACCAGCTTGGCCAATATGGTGAAACCTCGTCTCTACTAAAAGTACAAAAATTAGCTAGGCATGGTGGCGGATGCCTGTAATCTAAGCTACTCAGGAGGCTGAGGCAGGAGAATCGCTTGAACCCGGGAGGCAGAGATTGCAGTGGGCTGAGATTGTGCCGTTGCACTCCAGCCTGGGAGATGGGAGCGAAACTCTGTCTCAAAAAAAAAAAAGAAAAAGATTTTAATAAGCAAAAATCTGTTGATTTTGATCTTTGATAGAGAGGAGACTCATTTTACCAAAGACCTAACAAAGGCAGCATAAGACACACAAAACTGGTTTCTCTCTCTCTCTTTCTCTTTTGAAGTTTACTCAAAAAGACAAAAATATTTTACTATATCTCAGTACTACATGAAAATCTTTTTAAAAGAGAAAACTAAATTATACTTTTATATTAGATGTACTTTTAATACTAAGTACTAAATTTCAATCCTTATAATAAATTCATTTAATCTAGTTTAATCACAAAAAAATTCTTTTACTATTGTTCTTTCTTTTTTAAAACTTTTAACATTCATTCCATTTTTTCTATACTATTTCTTTCTGCCTTCATTTTGAAACAACCTTTAAATAACCTAACTAGACAAAATGACATTTTTTAACAAAAACCACATTTTCATGCCTTTCTTATAAACTTGCTGACCAAAAACATATCTTGCTTTTCTTATACACTTTGCATACAGAATTATTTCTCTTGTTTTTAGTTACATATATGTAATATATGTACAACATATGTACATACATATTACATATTACATATATGTAGTGATGCAGGATTTTTGCTCCTTAGTTCAACTAAATCCAGGTTCTTGTCTCACAACCAGGAAAAATTAGGTATGCGAGCACATTGAAGGGTGAGGAGGGAGGAATTTACTAAGTGAAAGGAAAGCTCTCAGCAAAGAGAGGGATTCTCCAAGCAGGTTTCTCCCTTACAATTGAATACCAGGACCACCACATATGAGCTTATGAGGCCAGGCTCCTCCCCTGAATAAGGCATGAATTCCTGGTGGCCCCACCCCATCCCCCAATGTATATGTGGACATGCCCAGGCAAGCCTGGTAGTATTGGAAATAGGTAGTATTGGAAAAGGCAGCATTCGATGGGTTAAAAGGCATTATTCAGAAAGTATCAATTGGGAAGGGGTGGGCAAACAGGGGCAGAAGTTCTCCCTCTTGGTCACAGGTTTCATCTGGGACTAGCACTCCAGTCTTTCAGCCTTCAGGCTGTTTTAGACTTGAAGGTGAGGTTTTAGGCCAGGGGCCCTTCCCTGTCTGCCTAGACATTTGTCTGCCTTCTGCTTCTATCAATCATTCCACCCTCTATAGAGGTACGACTAACTGCCCTTAGAACAGGAATGAAGATCAACCTGTCTTTTTTTTTTTTTTTGAGATGGAATCTCGCTCTGTTGCCCAGGCTGAAGTGCAGGTGCGATCTCGGCTCACTGCAAGCTCTGCCTCCTGGATTCACACCATTCTCCTGCCTCAGCCTCCCGAATAGCTGGGACTACAGATGCTCGCCACCACACCTGGCTAATTTTTCGTATTTTTTTAGTAGAGATGGGGTTTCACTGTGTTAGCCAGGAAGGTCTCGATCCCCTGGCCTTGTGATCCGCCCGCCTCGGCCTCCCAAAGTGCTGGGATTACAGGTGTGAGCCACCATGCCTGGCCCAAAGATCTATCTTAACTGCTTCCTGCTGACAGGGAGTGCTGTTTTGAGAAGATGGCAGTCAGTTTTCCCTCAGAAGCTTGTCTAAGGATCTCCAGTAAAAAATGGGCCATCATCTGCGGCTCTGGTTGCATGAACTTTGGAGTTTGATGGTCTGAAGACGAGAAGAGACAAACTGGGTTATTAGAAGACTTGTATCAAAATGAGACAAAAGGTTGGGGGGTAAAGGCAGCCTGAAAAATCCCGAGGCTCCCAGCATGTCCAGAAAACAGGTGGCTATAGTTACCTGCTAAGATTTGGGTGCATGGGGTTTGGCTTTTGTTAGCTCTCTTGGTCTTATTTTCCCAAAAAGAAACCTCCAGGTTATGGGCACCCTATTTACTCCTATCACCTGGCAGGATTTGCAGGATAATTGCCCAGAACTGGAATATTGATTCAGATTTTTACATTATCCATCCCTTTTTTTTCTTCTGAGCTGCAGGAGGAGATCACTAGTTGATTCACAGGAATAAACAGGGTTAGTCTAAAATGTAGGCAAAAAAACTTTAAAACAACTAATTGGTCTAGAATTTAATGACAGATGTATGATAAGGTTTGAGACATAATTTCTCTCTCTCCAGTCCTCATTTTTGTTAAAAACAAATCATGATAGGACTGAGTTGTTTGCAAAATAAACTTTAGTCTTATATTTGGCCTGCTTGTTTGCATAAAGTGCAACAAAAATAATTATTTTTACATAGCCTTTTCAAACTGGCTTTGAAGGAACTCTGTTCCACAAGGAATCTCAGATAACACCTTTTAAAGTTGAGCCTAGCCATGTGTTTGTACCCCAAATACCTATGAGTTGGGTAAATTCCTTTCTTCTTGAGGTCCCAAGGACATGGGGTTCCTGGGCCTGTTAGAAAGTGACATTCTTTACTCCCCATACAGGGTAGGAACCCTGTACAGGGACTGTGTAGACAAGGTATGAGGCCAGTTTTCCCAAGGGGCTTTTATCAGCTCTGCAAGTTGAGCTTGATTCCTTAAAGGAAAGCATACCCTTCCAGTCAAAGCCTTGGTAAAACAACCAGCTTCTCCAATTGCATCCTGTAGCAAAAGAAAATGGATTCTTATTGCACTGATGCAAATAACCATATTGCTATAAGTTAAGAATACTCACAGATAGTTTCCAAATTCTAGAGGAACCAGGCAGAGAGAAACAAACATGCTCCAAATTTTGTTCACAGGAGTATAACTTACTCAATTATTAAAGACTGTAAATAGCTCAAAATAAAAGTTTCTTTAACTCTGAAAAACAAAACAAGGATCAGCAATGTTTTAAGCAACAGTTAATAAAAGATTACTTCAGCTTTCTATTAGTTCAGTCCATTCCATTAACTCTTGTTCTGCTTGATATTCATGAACATTTTAACTCTTCATGAGTCCTATACGTTTTTCCAGCATTCAAATGTCACAATCTCCAAAGTTATCAGAAACCTGCATTTGAGAGCACCTGTCAAAGTTCCATAGCTGATTAAAACCATCTTTTGAAGAGGATCAAAACAAGACAACAGTTGTCTGTGAATAACAAAATGTTCAGGGTACTTACAGTTAAAAACACAATTGATAAAGAAATTTGGTTATCTGTGGTTTATAATAACGTACTGTAATAATCTTAATTATGATTGATAGCATATAATCAGACATTAGAATTTTAGAAATCCCATACAATTTTGGAATGTACGTTAATATTATTCACTGAAATATAACCTGATGAAGATGAAGCATCATTTTGGCAATCCCACATACTTAAATATGTCAAATAATCCTATTTACCTCTCTTTTGGATGCAATAGGGGCCCTCCGTAGCATGTAAAATCTGGGGGTCAGGAAATATAATTTTGAAACTGAAATTTGATTTTGGGCAACCTCTCAAATATGTTAGAGGTTCAAAGCACTTGATATTATGAAACAGAACTCTAGATTACCATAAATTATTTATTTTGCCAAAATGATGTTTCAAAATTTCAAAACAAGGCAAAAACCTTTACTCATTAAGAGGAAAGACTTAGCTTTCCAGTTTATTTCCTGTCTTCTCTTTCTTTTCCTTGGCAGTTTATTCACAAGACAAACAAAAATCTTTCATTTCCCTTTGTTATTACATGAAAATCTTGTACAAGGGAGAGAAAGCCAAATTTTACCCTTACATTAGTTTACTCTTAATGTCAACCCCAATTTTCTAGGAAAACCTTACAGACAATTCTATCTAATCTTAACCAGTTTGACCATGAGATGAGATTCTTATAAAACTTTGTAATCCTTTACAAATTTTGCTAAAGAGCAGATTAGCACCTTAAGGAAACCTTCTTGTTCTTTTATTTCAATGCTCAATTTACATAAAAAACATATAATACCGTTTTGAATTTATTCTATTCTATGTTCACACACAGCATTTCTTTTGCAAGATCAGTTTTTAGAAACCTTCCACAACTTGTTTAAGCCTTTAGCTTTATCTTATCTAATTTAAAACAATCCTTTAACCTCAGGCAAAAATTTTCATTCCATGCCTTCTTATAATCTTTTACTAAAAACACATTTTACTGTTCTTACACACCTTGCTGGTGAATCCATTTTCAGTGGTCTCAATTACATGTTATAATGATAACTCTTAGCAATTTTTAACTTTAATGTAAAATCTGGTAAGTTGTTTTAATTATGCACTAGGTGCCAATGAAGTGTGACTCCTTCCAGCATAGTTAAGGGTGTGGTTAATTCCATACATCCCCAGGCCTCACCAATTGTGAAGCAGGCAAGTTGCAGAATAGTTCTCAAAAGCCAAAGAAGCAGTTTATAACCTTAAAACGTTTAGCAAACTTACTATCTGACCTACATAACTTAGACCACCTATTTACATTTTAACAATATTTGCATTTTTGGCCAGGTGCGGTGGCTCATGCCTGTAATCCCAGCACTTTGGGAGGCCGAGGTGGGTGGATCACGAGGTCAGGAGATTGAGACCATCCTGGCCAACATGGTGAAACCTCATCTCTACTAAAATACAAAAAATTAGCTGGGCATGGTGGCAGTGTGCCTATAGTCCCAGATACTTGGGAGGCTGAGGCAGGGAATCCCTTGAACTTGGGAGGCGGAGGTTTCAGTGAGCCAAGATTGTGCCACTGCATTCCAGCCTGGAGACAAAGAGAGACTCCATCTTAAAAAAAAACAAAAAAACAAACAATATTTGCATTTTTTTACCAATAATACTTACTGTTTTTATTTCTCAAAGATTAAACTCACATGAACTAAAAAATATTATAGCTTTTAATTTTCCTTCAAAAATATTCAATCTAAGTGCTTATTTTTTCTTTGGTCCAATTAATTAGAGCTTTTTTATATAAACATCACACACATAATACATATATAACTACACAGACAGACAAAAGAAGATCCAGTATTTGTAAGATTTTTCATTTGCCAGTTTTTTAATTGGATTATTGGTCTCAGGGTGGAGACTTTTAAGAAACAGGGCCCAATACAGAGGTATAGCTGGAAGACAAAAAATAAATTTTGATACAGATTGATCCATTTCTAATTCTTGGGGTTCCATAAAGGAAAGAGATGTTTCTCCCAAAATGGAATCTGTGGCACTTTTTCTGTTTTTCTCAAGGAGTCTCAGGTCATCAGAAGTTATCTTAGGGCCTCTCATGCATGCATTAAGAATTGCAAGACATGGGGAGAACAGTAATTCAGTCGACTGAGAAAAAAATCTTTTTCCAGCAAAACAAGATCCAAGAAGAGAGAACATAAAGGTCTTTTAAATATACCTATAACTTGGATATCCACTTTTAATTAAGTAGAGCATTCCTTAAGAAAGTCCTTGGCCAGGCGCAGTGGCTCATGCCTGTAATCCCAACACTTTGGGAGGCCGAGGCAGGTGGATCACGAGGTCAGGAGATCGAGACCATCCTGGCTAACACGGTGAAACCCTGTCTCTATTAAAAATACAAAACAAAATTAGCCGGGCGCAGTGGCAGGCACCTGTAGTCCCAGCTGCTCGGGAGGCTGAGGCAGGAGAATGGCGTGAACCTGGGAGGCAGAGCTTGCAGTGAGCAGAGATTGCACCACTGCACTCCAACCTGGGCAACAGAGCGAGACTCTGTCTCAAAAAAAAAAAAAAAAGAAAAAGAAAAAGAAAAAAAATAAAAAGAAAGTCCTTTTAAATTCCTTGTAAGCTGACTTTAGCCGTGCCAAGCTGCCAATATTTTTGGCATTTGAACTTTACCAAAAGTAACTCACAGGTGAAACCAACAAGCTTCAATTAAGGTTATGACTTAACCACAAATGTATGAAGTATTTTCGAAGGGGTAGTAAGCAGTTTTTACAAAATCTAGGACCTTTAAAGGTAATTCAGAGAAAGAAAGATTTAAGAAAGGAAGCTGGAAGTTGTTCATGGAAAGGAAGAGAATCAGCAAATGGCAAAAGTTACACACAGATATCAACCCAAAAGTACTCATTTCTCAAGCCAGGATTGAACCCAGGTTGCCATTGTAAAATGGCGGAGACTAAAAGAAAGTACTGCCACGTGGTTACAGGTCACACTCCCAAGGATGTAAAACAAGATGGAGGCCTGCAGCAAAGTTTGTTACTGACCAGTTTGCCAGGCTGACTTGAACAGCAGGCTTATGGGGTCCTAGGCCTACATCCTATCATATGGTACCCCTCTTCCTGACAGAATCACACAGAAAGACATGCAAATCACATCAGATTGGCTACAGCTTAAGACTAACTTCACAAATCCTTTTTCATTAATCAAAACTTTACAGAGAATATAAACAGTGATCCTTATCATTCCTTTTACCAGTTTGTACAGGTAGAGAGAGGCCAACATCTGAATGATGAAACTTTTGCCCTTTTTCCAGCATGTCATCCTTCTAGGTTCCCTTCCTCTGAGTTCAATTCTAAGGCAACCAGTTTAAGGTAGGGGATATTAATTTTTCCCAGTTTGGAGGATGCATCCAAGGGGAGTGTGCTGTAGCACAGGGACACAATTACCCATCTGTGAAGAGAGGACAGAGGTGGAAAAAGGTAATAAAAAAGGCATTTTTTTTCAAAGGAGTCCCAAGGGTTCAGGATGTACTTTTGAAAGGGGTAAAGACTGAAGATGAATGGCTACTCATCTAGAAAGAGGGGAGCAAGGCATGCCTAGTTCCCTTCTCTTCCCAGCAAATACCCAGGGTATGTGAGGGAGAGGCAAGAGAGGCATCCCTTTTCTTCCTTCTTTCCTTGTATCCCGGAGTCCTGAAGACAATGACAGGGTGCTGCCCATGGGTGTCAATGTGCCTTTTCACCCATGTTAACAGGTGGGTTAGAGGGTAGGATTATCCACCCTTACCCACACACTGCCTTTCCCCTTGCTGTCAGTAGCTTTCAAGTTCCCTAGACCTCATGCATGCCATAGATACTAGCATGACCACTATCCATGAAATGGGAGGCTTGGCTTAATTGGCAGGAATTAGTCATGCTTACCTGTGCTATGTCTCTTAACTTCCATTGTCATCTGCCTCAGATCCAGTTTTCTTTCCTAGAGTTTCAACCCAAAGTTTGGAATTGAGTTTGGGACAAGAATGTGTCTCAGTGGGGTTCATGGATTCATTAAGTCATGGGTGAAGCTGTGGAATTGGGTCCTCCTCCAACAAGGGATAGAAAAGAGTGTCTTGTGAATTGGGGTCCTGGCCTATTAAAACGCCTTTCAAGAAAAAAAAAAACTCTGGCATGGAGAAGCCCCCTGTATTGCACGGCTGTGTTATTAGGTTGGTGCAAAAGCAATTGTGGTCACCGCCATGCTAAGTAATGGCAAAAACCTCAACTACCTTCAAACCAACCCATTAACTCCCGACCTGATGGAGAAAAGGAAAAAGAACAGCTTAAGGGTAGAGCTGGAGAAGATTGTTGAGGAAGAAACCTCTTATTCTGATGCAAATGAGTTTCTCCAACAGGGAAAGAAATTTTTAATTCCTGTTTCTTCCCTCAGGCTCAGAACAAGCTGGACCCCTCAGCTGGGGGAGGGGAAGACTCCGTGGGCACGTGGTGGGAAACATGGCCAGCTAGCCATGAAGGGCCTTGGGCCCCCAAGACTGCCCTGGGGCCTGGGAAGTGGCTGTGGCTCAGTCCTGCACTGCATGGCCACTGAACACAGCATGTGTATGCAGCAGACATGGCCACGTGCCCCAGCTAGGAGG
Organism: Homo sapiens; assembly: GCF_000001405.40. Classification (NCBI taxonomy): domain Eukaryota; kingdom Metazoa; phylum Chordata; class Mammalia; order Primates; family Hominidae; genus Homo; species Homo sapiens. The sequence continues at coordinate 70,872,067 of NC_000014.9, forward strand.
GAAAGAGGTGGTGGGGAGCTGCTGCTCGCCTGTCTGTCACAAGAACATGCCTGTGGCCATTGGAGTGGGGGTGGAACACCCCCAATATTATAAAAGAAAAGATAGGTGCTATTTTAATTCTGAAAAAAAGAAGGAAAATGCCACAGAAAAGACTGTATTGGACCAAGGCTGACATTCCCAACCCCTGAAAGTGACAGGGAGGGGGCAGTTTTCCCTGCCTTCAGAAGAAGTCTGAAGATGAGAAAGCTCAGAAACGAAAGTGAAAGATATTTTTGGGGCAGCGTTTTACTCACCCTTCTGACAAACCCCCGTATAGGCCAAAATGATGCAGAATTTTTGCTCCCTAGTTCAGCTAAATCAGAGTTCTTGTCTCATGACCAGGAAAAATTAGGCACGTGGTCATATTGAAGGGTGAGGAGGGAAGAATTTATTAAGTGAAAGGAAAGCTCTCAGCAAAGAGAGGGGATCTCCAAGCAGGTTTCTCCCTCACAATTGAAAACCAGGGCCACCGCACATGAGCTTATGAGGCCAGGCTCCTCCCCTGAATAAGGCATGAATTGCTTGTGGCCCCCCAGTCCCCCAGTGCACACGTAGGCATGCCCAGGCAAGCCATAGGTAGTATCAGAAAAGGCAGCATTCAATGGGTTAAAAGGCATTATTCAGAAAGAATCAATTGGGAAAGCGTGGGCAAACAGGGGCAGAAGTTCTCCCTCTGGGTCACAGGTTTCATCCTAGACCAGCACTCCAGTCTTTCAGCCTTCAGGCTATTTTAGGCTTGAAAGTGAGGTTTTAGCCTAGGGACTCTTCCCTATCTGCCTAGGAATTTGTCTCCTGCCTTCATCAGTAGTACATATTACATATATGTAACTAAAAACAAAAGAAATAATTCTGTATAGTACATACATGCAATACATATATATGTACAATACAGAATATATGTACTATAGAATATATGTATAGTACATATATTCAGTATAGTTCATACTACACTACATACATGCTATATTATATGTATAGTATATTTCTGTCCATATATATACTATAAATGTACTATATATTCTGTATAGCACATACATATAGTACCCATATGTACTATATGTATATATTATGTATGTTATATATAATATGTATTGTATATAGGCATATGCTATGGGAAGGGGGGCAGGGAAGTGCTGGGTAGAGAAGGGGGGGGTCCCTGATGAGGGCTCCATCCTCGAGCCTGTGCCCACGGACCTAAATGAGGACAGATGTTTCTGTTTTCACACCCAAAATGTTGCCTTTTGGGCCACCACACCCCCCACATCCTGTGCCCATAAAAACCTGAGACCCCAGCGGGCACACACACAAGCAGCTGGACATTGAGAGAAGCAGAAGACAGACACCAGCAGACACCAGCAGGCCATTGAAGGCAGAACGACATGACACCAAGAGGAATTCGGCCAGGGTGGTTGGAGGAAAGTCTAGCTGCTGGATGGCCCAAGTCCAGGGAAGACCACTTTCCCACTCCATCCTTTTTCTTGCTCCCCATCCATCTCACTGAGAGCTACTTCCACCACTCAATAAAACCTTGCACTCATTCTCCAAGTCCACATGTGATCCGATTTTTCCAGTACACTAGAGCAAGAACCCAGGCTACAGAAACCCTTTGTCCTTGTGATAGGGCAAAGGGTCTAATTGAGCTGATTAACACAAGCCACCAGCAGATGGCAAAGCTGAAAGAATATACTGTAACACACTCCCGCTGGGGCTTCGGGAGCTGCAAACCCTCAACCCTAGACTCTGCTGTGGGTCAGAGCCCAAAAATGCTCTCCATGACCCACCCGTCTGCATGCTCCCCTAGGGTTTGAGAAGTAGGGCCCTGAAGAGGCAAGCCACACCCCTGTCACATACCCTGTGAAGGTGATAAGGGAACTCCACCCATTTCACATATAGTAAACATATATGTACCATATTTTAATTATATACATTAATCATAATTTTAACTCTTAGTAACATTAATTTCCAGTGAACAATCAAGGAAGTAATCCATTTTAAACTGTTTTATATCAGTATTTGTAGATGAAAGCCATTTCCTAATTTTTAGAAAGAAATGTTTCCTCAATTTTTTATGTTTCTTCTTATTTATTTATCCATTTATTTATTTTGAGATAGAGTCTTGCTCTGTCATCCAGGCTGGAGTGCGGTGGCATGATCTCAGCTCACTGCAACTTCTGCCTCCTGGGTTCAAGCAATTCTCCTGTCTCCGCCTCCCAAGTAGCTGGAATTGCAGGCGCACACCACCATGCCCGCCTAATTTTTGTATTTTTAGTAGAGATGGCGTTTCGCCATGTTGGCCAGGTTGGTCTCAAACTCCTGACCTCAGGTGATCTGCCCGCCTTGGCCTCCCAAAGTGCTGGGATTACAGGCATGAGCCACCACGCCCAGCCAGATTTTTATGTTTCTTAATAGATCCAAATATATTTAACTTCTATATACTGTATTAAAAACAAGATGTTGAAGTATATAAACTAAAGCTATGCTTAATAATTAATGTTTCAGTATTTTATTGAATTTAAAATGAATTGAAAATAAAGTAATTTTCAATTACTTAATTTAACATGATTTTAAAATTTGAAGTTGCTGAAAAAGATTTTGGAAACTATGATAAATTTATTTATAAATTTTGATGCCATTTACATTCACCTTATTTACTCATTCTTTACAATTATGCTTGAATTACTTATTAAACAAAACTAGCCATTGAAGAAGTATAACTGCTCAACAGGTTCACATTGCCAGCTGCCTAGACAGAGCTAATTTATCAAGACAGGGGAATTAGAATGGAGAAAGAGTAATTCATGTAGAGCCGGCTGTGCGGGAGATGGAGTTTTATTATTACTCAAATCAGTCTCCTCGAGCATTTGGGAATCAGAGTTTTTAAAAATAATTTGGCGGGTAGGGGCTCGGGAAGTAGGGAGTGCTGATTGGTCAGGTTGGAGATGGAATCATAGAGGAGTCAAGTGAGTTTTCTTGCTTGTTGTCTTCTGTTCCTGGATGGGATCATAGAATTGGTGGAACCAGATTACCAGTCTGGGTGGAGTCAGTTGATCCATGGAGTGCAGGGTCTGCAAAATATCTCAAGCATTGATCTTAGGTTTTCCAATAGTTATATTTTCCCCAGGAGCAATTTTGGGAGGTTAAGAATCTTGCAGCTGGAGGCTGTGTGGTCACTAAACCACAATTTCTAATCTTGTAGCTAATTTGTTAGTCCTATAAAGGCAGACCGGTCCCCAGACAAGAAGGGTTTTTTTTTTTTTTTTTTTGGAAAAGGGCTATTATCAATTTTGTTTCAGAGTTAAACTATAAACTAAATTCCTTCTGAAGGTTAGTTCAGCCTACGCCCAGGAATGAACAAGGACAACTTAAAGGTTGAAAGCAAGATGGAGTCAGTTAGGTCTGATCTCTTTCACTGTCATAATTTCCTCAGGTATGATTTTGGCAAAGGCGGTTTCAGAAGTTCGGAAGATATGACCCCAAAATATGTTGCTTTTGTATACTATTGCTGCTAACAGGTACTCAGAGCAAGGCTTTAAAAATTCTCCTTGTTTGTCTAAAGACAGATTTTCCAAAGGAATCCAAATGCCATCAATCCTGTTGTTACAGGAAAGGGGTCCTGATCCAGACCCCAAAAGAGGGTTCTTGGATCTCGTGCAAGAAAGAATTCAGGGCAAGTCAATAAGGTGAAAGCAAGTTTATTAGGGAAACAAAGGAACAAAAGAATGGCTATTCCATAGAAATGCATGGTTTTATGGTTATTTCTTGTTTATATGCTAAACAAGGGGTGGATTATTCATGCCTCCCCTTTTTAGACCATATAGGGTAACTTCCTGATGTTGCCATGGCATTTTTAAACCGTCATGGCGCTGGTGGGAGTGTAGCAGTGAGGACAACCAGACGTCACTCTCATCACCATCTCGATTTTGGTGGGTTTTGGCCGGCTTCTTTACTGTAACCTGTTTTATCAGCAAGATCTTTATGAGTTGTACCTTGTGCCGACCTCCTATCTCATCCTGTGACTTAGAATGCCTTAACTGTCTGGGAATGCAGCCCAGTAGGTTTCAGCCTCATTTTACCCAGCCCCTATTCAAGACCTCATTTTACCCAGCCCCTATTCAGATGGAGTTGCTCTGGTTCAAATGCCTCTGACACTCTCCCCTAGGAAGTTCCAGAAACCAGGGAAGATTAACTATTATCACAGGAGAGAAGGTTTCATCACACCAAGACAGACCTTGTCACACAAACCATGATTAATTTTTCTAAGGGCCCATTCATCTTTCCCCCAAACCATTTCCTACTTCAGGCCTAAATACCACCATTTGCCCAAACCAAGGAAGGAGGGTATAGGTAAAGGTCCAGTTAAGACAAGATGACCAGGAAAAGCATCTTAAATGATAAGGCTTGTTATATAAATTTAAATCAATGCCTTTTCAATTTAAAGAGTTTCCAGGGGCTTAGCCCTCTGTCTCTTTGTGTTGCACAGAGGTAGACACCCTTACAAATAGAGATTTCTTTCACAGATGTAATTTTCTTTAATAAAAGCGTTTCAAAATAGCCAGCTAAATGCCAGAAAGGTATATTGCAAAGACTGATTTAGTTCAATAGGTAGTCTTTTTAACTTAGCTTCTGTTTCTTTTCTCTTTTTTTGAGACAGAGTCTTGCTCTGTTGCCAGGCTGGAGTGCAGTGGTGCGATCTCGGCTCAGTGCAACCTCTGCCTCCTGGGTTCAAGCAATTTCCCTGCCTCAGCCTCCCAAGTAGCTGGGACTACAGGCACATGCCACCATGCCGGGCAAATTTTTTTGTATTTTAGTAGAGACAGAGTTTCACCATGTTGGCCAGAATGGTCTCCATCTCCTGACCTCGTGATTTGCCCACCTCGGCCTCCCAAAGTGCTGGGATTACAGGCATGAGCCACGGCGCCTGGCCTAGCTTCTGTTTCTTAGCTAAATTACTGAGTTTAAAGTGGAGCTCACACCAGTTAGAATGGCAATCATTAAAAAGTCAGGAAACAACAGGTGCTGGAGAGGATGTGGAGAAATAGGAACACTTTTACACTGTTGGTGGGACTGTAAACTAGTTCAACCATTGTGGAAGACAGTGTGGCGATTCCTCAAGGATCTAGAACTAGAAATACCATTTGACCCAGCCATCCCATTACTGGGTATATACCCAAAGGATTATAAATCATGCTGCTATAAAGACACATACACACGTATGTTTATTGCAGCACTATTTACAATAGCAAAGACTTGGAACCAATCCAAATGTCCATCAATGATAGACTGGATTAAGAAAATGTGGCACATGTACACCATGGAATACTATGCAGCCATAAAAAAGGATGAGTTCATGTCCTTTGTAGGGACATGGATGAAGCTGGAAACCATCATTCTCAGCAAACTATCGCAAGGACAAAAAAAACAAACACCACATGTTCTCACTCATAGGTGGGAATTGAACAATGAGAACACTTGGACACAGGAAGGGGAACATCACACACCGGGGCCTGTTGTGGCGTGGGGGTAGGGGGGAGGGATAGCATTAGGAGATATACCTAATGTAAATGACAAGTTAATGGGTGCAGCACACCAACATGGCACATGTATACATATGTAACAAACCTGCACATTGTGCACATGTACCCTAGAACTTAAAGTATAATAATAATAATAAATAAAAATAAAAAATAAATAAATAAATATAGTGGAGCCCATTAATGAAGAGGACAGAGAAAGCGTTCTCTATGCCTGGACTCAGCATGGATAGCTTTGAAAAAGAGAAACAAGCCTACTTTACCTGAGGGCCTACCTTTTATAAGCACTTTATTCGGCTTTCTTTCCACCTTGGGGCAGGATAGTAACTAAGCCAAAATGTTAGCAGATTCTATTTCCCTTATCAATTAGTCATTTAAAATCTTTATTTGTCTTTTGTAAAGAGCCTTTAAAAGAGGCAATAAGGCCGGCGCGGTGGCTCACGCCTGTAATCCCAGCACTTTGGGAGGCCGAGGCGGGCAGATCACGAGGTCAGGAGATCAAGACCATTCTGGCTAACACGGTGAAGAAACCCCGTCTCTACCAAAAATACAAAAAATTAGCCGGGCGTGGTGGCAGGCGCCTGTAGTCCCAGCTACTCGGGAGGCTGAGGCAGGAGAATGGCGTGAACCCGGGAGGCGGAGCTTGCAGTGAGCCGAGATGGCGCCACTGCGCTCCGGCCTGGGCAACAGAGGGAGACTCTGTCTCAAAAAAAATAAAAAAAATAAAAAAATTTTAAAAAAAGAGGCAATACAAATTTTGAAATTTTTTTTAGAAGCTTCTGCACATCAATAGGCATCCCTGGTGAACCTAATTCAGGAGCCCCCATTTTTAAATGCACTTCTTAAAGTACAATGTTGTTCATTTGAATGTTCCACCATAATTTTAAATCATCTTTAGTAAGATTTCTCCATTTTTGTAAGCATTTGCTGCTTCCGGTGCCTAATACTTATATACTATACATAAAGGCAGGCATACTGGGAAAGTGGAGGACTCAGTTCTTCAAAAATTAAGGATCTCATTTTTATGTTGATTCCTGGCTTTGGCTCTAAGATCCTCTTGGCCAAGTCAGCCAATGATTTTTCCCTACCCAAGTGTGTAAGAAAAAGGAACAAAGGAGATAGAACACAAAATCTCTGCAAATTCCCAAAAGCTGGAGTTCGCACCCCCTGCACTAATTGCCATTTACCACCCGTTTCCGCCTGACCCAGCGAGACAGCTGAGGCCTCTAACTTGATCCAATCCACTTAATTATCGAATCTGATTCGATCCTGGACCGAGTCCAGTTTTTGTTGTGACTTCTGGACTGAGTCCAGTTTTTGTTGTGACTTCTGAACCGAATCCAGTTAAAAAATTTGCTCAAACTCAGATAGCTCAAAACACAAATTTGTGGCACTTCAGAATCTAAGAGCGAATTTGTCCAGGATCCCCAGTTGCTGCAAGAGAGCAGTGGACACAGTGGGCCCAGCAGGCACCTTGCTTGGTCGCTCCATCCTCCTGGGGGTCATTAGAAGCTCTACTTTGTGGGCATTTTTGGGGTTTTTTTGTTTGTTTATTTCTTGTTTTGAGACAGGGTCTCATTCTGTTGCCCAGGCTGGAGTGCAGTGGTGTAATCACGGCTCACTATAGCCTCGAACTCCTGGGCTCAGGTGATCCTCCCACCTCAGCCTCCCTAGTAGCTAGGACTACAGACACGTGCTCCCACACCCAGCTAATTTTCTACTTTGGATCCTGCTTCTGATGCCATTGGTTAAAAGAAAAGCTTTAGGCAAATTAAATTTAACACAGTTTAATTGAGTAAAGAAAGATTCTTGAATCCAACAGTCCCCAAAACACAAACAGACTCAGAGTGACTCCAGGGCTGCCACATTTATGCCACATTTATTAGGTAACATTTATGGACAGAAAAAGGAAATTGACCTGTAGAAAGCATAAGGGAGGTACAGAAACGGCTGGATTGGCTACAGCTGGGGCCTTTGCCTTATTTGAACCTGGTTTGAACAGTTGGCTGCCTGTGGTTAACTGAAATTTGGCTGCTGTGATTGGCTGAGACTCAGTTACCAGTCTGTTTATGCATCAAATTAGGTTACAGTTCACTGTGTATGGAGAAACCTTTAGGCCAGACTTAAAATATATACAGAGGCAGCTTTAGGCCAAACTTCATTTAACAGCATCTAGATAATTTTCTTCAAAAATTTTTGAATGATCCATGGCGTAGCCTCTTTCTTTTGTTCAATGTATCTATAGAGGGAAATGTTTTCACAACTCCATCATTATACTCTTAGTTTCCCCGAATAGTTTAACTGGTGGAAAGGGCAGCAATACTCAAAGCCATTAAACCAAGCAGAACTTGCACTATCAATTTCAGTCTGTTCTGAAGGTATTCATATATGGCTAAGGCTTTTTCTGCAAATGTAGAAAAGCTTACCCTGATATTAAGTTGCTAGGAAAATCATGTATGCATCAGTGTGTCTTCCGTGTTACATGGATATCACTCATATCAAAGTAACATGCATTGCTGCAAAAAGAATTGTAACTGTTATGTACTGAATTGTGTCCCCCCAAATTCATACATTGAAACCCAAGCCCACAATGCGATAGTATTTGGAGATGGGGCCTCTGGGAAGGAATTAGGTTTAGATGAGGTTACCAGATAGGTTCTTGTACGAGGCCATTCTTGTGTGGCCATAAAGAAATACATGAAGTTGTGGATAATTTATAAAGAAAAGAGGGGTATTTGGCTTATTTGGCTTACCATTCCGCAGGCTGTATAGGAAGCATGGAGCTGGCATTTGCTTCTGGTGAGGGCCTCAGGAAGTTAAAATCATGGCAGAAAGGAAGAGGAGCCGGCACATCACATGGTGGGAGTGGGAGCAAGAGAGAGGAGGACAGTGCCATACACTTTCACTTATTATTATTGTTATTATTATCATTTTGAGATGGAGTCTCGCTCTGTCACCCAGGCTGGAGTACAGTGGCGCGATCTCAGCTCACTGCAAGCTCTGCCTCCCCGGTTCAAGTGATTCTCCTGTCTCAGCCTCCTGAGTAGCTGGGACTACAGGCACCCGCCACCATCCCTGGCTAATTTTTGTATTTTTAGTAGAGACGGGGTTTCATCATATTGGCCAGGCTGGTCTTGAACTCCTGACCTTGTGATCTGCCTGCCTCGGCCTCCCAAAGTGCTGGGATTATAGGTGTGAGCCACCGCACCTAGCCTCCATCCACTTTTAAATGACCAGATATCACATGAACTCAGAGCAAGAGCTTACTTATCATCAAGGGGATGGTGCTAAGCCATTCATGAGGGATCCACCCCCATGATCCAATCACCTCCCACCAGGCCCCACATCCAACACTGAGAATCACATTTCAACAAGAGATTGGGATGGCACAAACATCCAAACCATATTAGTCCTCATAATGGGATTAGTACCCTTATGAGAGGAGATAGCAGACAGCTTGCAGTCTCTCTCTCTCTCTCTCTCTCTCTCTCTCCCTCTCTCTCTCTCTCTCTCTCTCTCTCTCTCTCTCCACCATGTGAGGACACAGAGGGAAGGCAGCCATCTACAAGCCAAGGAGAGAGTCCTTACAGGAACCTGACCGTGCTGGGACCTTGATACTCATACTTCCAGCCTCCAGACATGTCAGAAAATAAATTTTTGTTGTTTAAGCCACCCAATCCATAACATAGACTGGGTATTATGTCACCCAGTGCCATAACATGTTATGCTATGGCAGCCTAAGCTGACTTAGATAGTAACCATCATTATGTGACATAAAAGGAGCATAGTAAAGAGAGCACATAATTCTAGAAGGGGTGGAGGTTGGAGAGAAATTAAGTTGAGAAGAGGAGAACAAGATGTCAGGAAAGTCTTCCCATATGAGATACTTCTAGCAATTGAGTCTAGTCTAGAGGAACAGGCAGTTATTCTCTAAATGGTCTCTAAGAAGAGCTGGGGGCCTTAAAAACAAGGGACGTAGCAGTAATCTTTTTTATAGGCTGTGAATTGCTGTGGAACCTATAGCTTCAAACCTATTTGTTTTCCATGAACTCTATAATGATGTCATGGTCTATGCCTTCTTCATGTACAAACATCATACAGTTAACCCACCACCATGATAGCATGTACTTTCTGTTGTCGTGTTGTTTCCTAGTAAGGTGATTGATTTGCATTGCTTCAACCGGGCTCCTCTGATTGATCATTTTCTAAACAATGGATGCATTTACAGATGGTTGCCAGGTTCAGCAGAGGAGGCTGTAGCCATCAAATAGATAAAGTAGGCTCACCACATTCTGGAATTGAAACCGTGATCTTGGTTACATCAGAAGGTGCTCTAACCAATTGAACAAACCAGGCCTCGATGAAGCAACTGAGAGCTGGGGGATTCTTATGCAGAACAGAGCATTCATACTTCCGCTTCCATATGTACCACATATGTGTTCCTCTCAACTGGTTTTGTACATTTCCATTGCCTTAAATGTATTCACATAGCACTCTTTAAATACTCGAAGTATAATGAAGAAAAGAGAAGGAACTGAAATGGTTCCATTCCATTTCTCACTAGGAAGTTGATTCTGTGCACTCTATTTCTGACTATTTTCTATCAGCCTATCACTGTGGGATGTAGGAGGGAGGAACAGGACACAAAATGTGGCATAATTAAAAAAAGATGAAGAAGAAAATTAAAATCATTAACCATTAGTAATCATTTTTAATGTGCATCATTTTTAAAATTCGAGAATAACCCAAGGAGGTAGGCATAATGTTTAGACATGATTTACCAGTGAAAAGAAGCTTAGAGAAATGAAGTAACGGCTGGAAAGTCACAGCTAGAACTCAAAGTGAGAATTCCCACCCAAGAAATCTAACTCCAGATTCTACACTCCTAATCTCCGCTATGTTGCTTTCCTGAAATGAGGAAAGAATAAGAAAGGAGAAAATTAGTGACAGGAAAGAGAGAGCTGAATAAGAGGGGACAAAGAAAGGAGGAAGGAAATCAAGCAGTTTCTACACTCTGGAAAATAACGGAGCAGAATTAACAGAAGAGAACTACTTTCCTCAATGCTCATTCTACTGTTAAAAAAAAAATAAGCCAGGCAGTGCAGCACACGCCTATAATCCCAGTGACTAAGGAGGCTGATGTAGGAGGATTGCTTGAGCCCAGGAGTTTGAAGCTAACCTGGGCAACAGAGCAAGACCTTGTCTCTAAAAAAAATTTTTTTTAAGTAGCTGCATTGTCTTGTTTTTCTAACTTTGTACAGTGCTTAGAGTAACACTATCTAAACAGCATGTGTTCCATAAACCCTGTTGACTAACCGCTGGATTTGCACAAGAAACACCGGAAGACTCTTAGGCAAGAGATATATTGTAAGATCCGTGACAATGAGATCTCTTGGATGACATGTTTTTCATTGTTTACTGCGTGTCTAAAATGAGAAGGTCCTAAGAGCCAACCTTTCATTGGAGTGGCCCCCATAAAACTGTCTGCTGTGTAAGGGGTGTTGGAGTGACTCTCCATCACAGGTTCTACTGCAGCTCTAGGGTGGGTCCTGAGTGATGTGAACCCCACCCCCATCCCCGTTGCTAGTGAATGGGTCTGGGGTAGGCAGGCCAAGGCCAATTGGGACCAATGAGTCATAAAGAGTTTTCTAAACACTTCCGGAAAATATGCTTTCTTACCCTTAAGAAAGAGTCACAGGAAGTTAGTAGGAGGTGAAAAGGGAAGCAATTAACCCAGCAACTACTGGAAGCCTTCCAAAACCCAGGGATCTTTCCCCAGAATGAAGTCAGCATTGGGGATAGCACAGCAGAGAGATGCAAAGAGCCACTGGATCCACCAGTCCTGAATCCTACCCAGCCTTTGACATCCTGCATTGGAGCCAATACATTTCTTTATGATAAAAGCTAGTTTGAGGTTGAGTCAGGATTTCTGTCCCATATTTTAAAGTATCCTACTGATGCAGCCTGGTAAACATAAAACATGGTAAACACATGTGGCCTGATTTTATTGGCAGCATGGTTAACTGGTTCAAGCTATGGTTCAAGCTATTCTTTCCCTTCTGTGATTATGACCATACGCTCTCATGAAAGGTGAAGCCTTTCTCCTGCCATGGCTACCTGGCTAAAAAAGCTCAGCCAGAGTCTCAATTCCTATAACCTCCTTCCCATCCATCCATTCATCCATCCATCTATCCATCCATCCATCCATCCATCCATCCATCCATCCAGCTGATGGATTAATAAATTTATATCAAGCACTTACTCTGAGCAAGGCATTTTGCTAGGCACTGTAAGGCCATCAAAAAGGAAAAAATAGGCCGGGCGCGGTGGCTCACGCTTATAATCCCACCACTTTGGGAGGCCGAGGTGGGTGGATCACCTGAGGTCAGGAGCTCGAGACAAGCCTGACCAATATGGTGAAACCCCGTCTCTACTAAAAATACAAAAATTAGCTGGGCTTGGTGCCGTGCACCTGTAGTCCCAGCTATTCGGGAGGCTGGGGCAGGAGAATTGCTTGAACCCAGGAGGCAGTGAGCCGAGATTGTGCCACTGCACTCCAGCCTGGCGACAGAGTGACACTCTGTCTCAAAAAAGAAAAAAGAAAAAAAAAATCAGATGCTCTCTGTTCTCAGAGACCTTATAGTGTAAAAGGGGAGAAAAAATATGTATACAATTAACTACGGCAAAATGTAGAAAACTGTTAGGTGTCACTAGATACAGTGCCACAGTAGATCAATGAAAGGAAGAGACCATTTCCAGCTGGGAAGGTTAGGGCCATTTTTTGTAAAGAAGATGGATTTTATGCTAGATCTTGGATGATCCTGAACTAGCACAGAGGAAATGAGCATTCCTGGCAGAGAAGAGCAGGAGAAAAGGCCGAGCAGAAAATCACAGAGAAAGGATGGGAAACAATTGGCTGGAAAATAAGGTTGGAACTTGAAAGGGTCAGTGAGGCCAGATAGTAATAGGATATAATTCCAGGTCGAGATCTTAGTCTGTGGGCAGTAGGTTGGGTTTTGAGTCAGGTATGAGCTGAGCAATAGAATGTGGTTTTGAAAGAAAGGAAGAGTATTCAAGACAGAGCACAGCAGGAGCAGATAGAAGAACCCAGGTGGCTGGTTTCTCTGACACAGGCAGGAAACATTCTTCTGCAATGGTGAGCCAGGCTGGATGATAGGGGAGACTCTACTTATGAGGCAGGAGGGTCTAGAATGAGGGACAGTTACCCAGAGTCTGGGAGCATCAAGCCACTCCTTCATGAGTCAGGCCCAGCAAGCTTGCTTATGAGCAGTGAGATTAGAAAACCCACGGGCAGAACCATGTGGACCGACAAGAAATAGGTGAGCGCCATATGTTTCCAGGGGCCAGACAGGTGAGCATCTGAGCAAAGACAGAAGCCAAAGCGGTGCAAACCTGGAAGGACAGGAGCAAGGCAGCTCAGGAGCTGACTGGGCAGTAGTATCGAAGGCCCAGATACAGTGTCCAGGCAAAGGGCCAAGAGCCCAGTCAAGGATGACAGCTGTATTGCGGAGATAAAGCGAAGAAAGCACAGGTTTCAGAGTCAAACAGACTCAGGTTTGAATCCAAGACTATCTTATCTGCTGTGTAAACTTGGGCAAGCCACTTAACCTCTCTGAGGCTTCTGTTTCCTTGGCTAAAAAGGAACATAATAATGTCTACCTCAAAGAGTTGTTATAAGGAGTATAAATAATATATGAAGAGTGCCTGGCACTTGGAGCACTCAATAAATGAGAGCTATTGTTATTATCAATATCACCCTCATTATTTATATTGAACTATAGAGATTGCTGTGGCTCAGGCTGAGAAATAAAGCAAGTGAGAGGAGTCTTTGCCAAGAACAGAGAAACCACCAGGAGGGGGAACGGGCCTCTGCAGAATTGATCACAAAAGCTCTCTGGCTTATGTATTACTCATTTGTCACTGTTGATTTATACATTCATTCTTATACTCAGTAATGCCAACACCATTGTCACCATTGCCATCATTCCCTCCAACAAAAATAAGAAGAACCTTAGATTTCTGTTAAAACAGTTCAACAGGCTGTGTTTTGCCCCTGGCACATCTCTTCATCTTTTCTGTGGATTGAGCTGCCATTGGTATTCAGGGATACCACCTGCCCCGAGTTGCTGACAACCATCTCCATGGTTTCTGGCCAGATCTCATTAGCTAAGTGAGGTCAAGCCCAGTGAGGTTAAATACCGACAAGGGAGAGGGTCGGGGGATACACAGATGGTTACAGGCATTGGGATGGAATGGCATGGCTGACCCAGCCTTGTGTTAGGTAGAAAACCAAGGTCACAACCTTTTGCAGTCTCTGAGGAGCTGCGTGACAACATATTTAATCAGAGGATGCCAGCCACAGTGATCCTGCAAGTTTCCAACTGATACAGTTTACCTGCTCCCTCTACATTCAATTGATGCTATTACTGCCCAATCCAATAATAAGCAACAATTTATTAAGCCCTTACTGTTTGCCAGGCTAACGACAGGCCAAAATGCAGGGCTAAAGCACTTTACATACTGTCCCATTTAATCCTCACCACAACTCTATAAAGTCAGTACTATTACCTGCTCCATTTTACCGATTAATAGAAGTTCAGAGAGGTTAAGTAACTTGTCTAAGTCCGCATAGCTAGTAAAACTGTAGAGCCAGCTTGGGAACATGGGTTTTGCTGATTCCAGATCTCCAGCTCTGCATTAAAATGCTAACTGGTGCTTCTCACACTTTAATGTGTATATAAGTCACCAGGCGATTTGTTAAAATGAAGGTTTTGATTCAGTAGATCCAGATGGGACCTGAGATGCTGCATTTCTTAGGCCACATGTATGCTGTCGGGCCGTGGGTTATAATTTGAATCACAAGAGACTTGTCTGATAGATTTGGTTCACAGTGGTTGGCAGGTTTCTCTTTGAAGGAGGTTGGGTTTTGGTCTTAGGGTTAGGCTAAGAGGCTTTAAAACCATTCAGGAAGTGTGGATTTTAGTTCTATGCTGCATACTAAATCATCATAAATTTATCCCCTTAAAACAACTCCCCATTCATTACTTTACAGGTTTTCCCCCAGAACTGGGAAGGGTGTGACTCCACTGATCTCCTCACAGGGCTAAATCAAGATGTCAGCTGGGCAGTGTTCTTATCTGGAGCTCAAGGGCCTTGTGGAAGCTCATTCTGGTTGTCACAGATTCAGTTTCTTGCGGTTGGGGGACTGAGGTCCCTGTTTCCTGGCTGGCTGTCAGCTGGGGGCCACTCTCAGTTCCTAGAAACTGCCGCATTTCTTACCACTTGGTCCTTTTATCTTCATAGTCAGCAATAGAGAATCTCCCCTTTGTTGAATTCTTCTCATGCTTCAAACCTCTTTGATTTTTTTCTGTCTTTGACCTCCAGACTCAGAGTTAAAGGGCTCGTGCTATTAGATCAAGCCCACCCAGACAATCTCCCTATCTTGGGACCTTAATTACATCTGCAAAATCCCTTCACAGCAGAATCTAGGTTGCTGTTTGATTGAGTAAGTGGGAGAAGGCTCACAGATCCCAGAGGCAGGAAACCTTAGGGGCTTAGAATTCTGCCTACCACAAAGTGTTTTGGTTTTCCTGGATGAGCTGCATTGTTGATTGATCAATGTTTTTAGAGTCATCGAAATTGAGACTATATAAGCTTTCTCATTTCTGCTTTCATTTCTACTCTCTTGCTGTAAGCCTCTCCTTTGGTATGAAATTACCAACAATGATTTCAAAATAAAAATGGACTGTCAACTTCCAGCAAATTGAGCTTAGCCCTTTTTCTCATTTATTGTATAAACTGAAAGTGTAAAACAGGAATTGATACATAGATCATTTGGGGTTTTTCACTGACTCATTAGCAATGTCCAGGAATAAGTCTCCAGATGCAGAGATGTTTATAGAAGGCAGTACTTCTTACTCAAGGAACTCTAAGTGCTCACGGATGATGTGAGCCAACAGACAGTGCCTGCACTTTGAAGAAGGAGGGTTTGTGATATCTTGACGTCAAAGATCTGACTGAAATCTTTGGAATCAAGCCCATCTTTTCTGATTTCTAGCCTATTTTCCTTCCAATGGCACTGTCCTAAGGTTGTACAGCTTAGAAAATGTTAACCCAGTATTGTTTTCTTTACTTGCATGTGAGAGAAGAGAAGTCAAAGTCAAAAGCAGGCAGCTGGAAACCTCCAGGGGAAGGGATTCCCAGGGGTCCTTTATATTCCTTTCTCCCCAAGCAAAGCAGAGAGAGAAGCAGCACACATACCCTGTGGATTCTGGGTTTGGAAAGCATAGTTGTGTTGTTCATCTGGGCTGCTATAACAAAATACTATACACTGAATGGCTCATAAACCACAGAAATGTATTTCTCACAGTTCTGGTGGCTTGGAAGTCCAAAATCAAGGTGCCAGCAGATTTTGTGTCTGGTGAGAGCCTGTTACCTGGTTCATAGATGGCTGTCTTCACATGGCAGAAGGGACAAAGGACCTCTCTGGGATCTCTTTTAAAAGGGTGCTAATCCCATACATGAGGGCTACATCTCATCGCCTCCCAAAAGTCTCACCTCCAAATACCATCATGAGGAGAATTAGGTTTCAACATATAAATCTGGGGAGGACAGACATTCAGTCTATTGCAGGGGCCAACAACAGCCCCTCATCAAGAGGTGGCGCTACGGAGGACAATATAGCTGGCCCTCCATATCCACAGGTTCTGTATATACAGACTCAACCAACTGAGGGTGAAAAACACTAAAAAAATAATAATAATACACAATAAAAATAAAAATAATACAGTGTAACACATATTTACATAGCATTTACATTGTATTAGATATTATAAGTAATCTAAAGATGATTTAAACTATGGGAGGATGTGCATAGGTTACATACAAGTACTACATCATTTTATATTAGGGACTTAAGCATCCCCCAGATTTTGGTATCCTGGAGTCCTGGAAGCAATTTCTCCCCACCCCCCACAACTAGGGATGAAGGATGACTGTACTAATGATTCTGTTTCTTTGCAATTCTCCTTAGTACCTCCAAAGCTCTAGCAAGATCATCACACAGGAAACAACATCATTTTCTTAGCCCACTCACAGCACAGAGAACAATGAAGTAATGGCTGTAGACAAATCCAAGTGTCTGTTGCAACCTCAGGGTGAGGAGAGAAAATTGGTAGTGGTGTTGCTTCCTTTAGAGCTTAAAAGGCACAGCTGAGGTGACTACCCTTCACTCCATTTTTGCTAGCATATAATAAGCTCTGCTTTGCATTTTTGCTCCCATGGCATCATTTTTGAAATATGAATCATAAAAGCAGTGCATTTCTGCTATGCCTGCTGAGACTTGCTTTATCACCCTCCTATTTCAGCGTTAATAAAATGATGCTGTCATTCCAGCTGGGAGGTATTTTGATTTTTCCAGACAGAGAGCTGGCTGATCACATTGTGAGTGTGTGTGTGTGTGCATACTTGTGTGCATGTGCCTCCCTTCTGGGGCTGAGAAGGAAATTGTCTTACCTTAATAATAGATAAATGTATTTTGATGGTAGCTGATTACTAAGTTGAGACTTTCTGTAAAATCTTCTAGCATCATGGTAATTTACTAACAGACAAAGAAAATCCCTCAATAAAGGCATCATTAGCAAAAATCCTGTGCCACTAGCTTCTAAATAGATGCGTAAAGGTAGGGTAGTAGAGACCAGGAGTAAAATAAGAAGGTTGGAGTAAATGACCTCTAAGGGCCACTTTTATTTAAAGAAAATTCCAAGCATAACATTGGAAGACCTAGAGATGATGCTAAATGCCTGAAAAGGGAGAATATAAATTTAGGAAGGTAGTAAAAATTTTCTCAATGATAAAGGAACTTATGACTATGGGTATTTGCACGTGTATGTGTCTGCTGTGTCTTTAATATTGAGGGGAATTCTTTTTCTTAAATCTGAGAATGATGGCTTAGTTGATGGCAAAATGGAAAGGATGCGGGGACCAGCCAGGAGCCCAGGAGCAAGGCAGGCGTTTCCAGAAGATCTTGGCAGAAAGAGGCAGACCAAAGAAGCAGACTGGCCAGCCAGTGCCAGGTAGGGTGTGAGATTAACTACAGGTGGGTGGAGCACAGCCCACGCACTACAGAGGTCTGGGCAGTCATGAAATCCAAAGGGGCTGCTCAGGATAGTGGGTAGCAGGGACTGCACCTTCGAGGGTGAGGTTCAGAGGCAGGATTTGGGTTTCTTTTTTTTTTTTAAAGGATTAGCAAGAGAAAGCGCACAATCTAGAACAAATGAGATATCAACAAGAGTCACTGAAAAGGGACCTACGGACAGGCTGTTAGGGACTTGATCTTCAGGAATAAGACTGGCTACTAGAATCAAAGAAAAGGTTTGTGTAGGTCCAGTAGCAAGGCTGATTTGATGCTATCATGCTGAGAAACTCATACTCTGCTTTTCATTTTTGCGTTTTTAGTACCTCTAAAGCTTTTTACATTCTCCCCAACTATAGAGATACTCTAGGGCCTAAGTTGATCCTAGCCGGGCTAATCACCAAATCACAGAATTTGGCAGATGATTTCAAGAAGTTTAAAATGAGTCCCGTCCTCAAAGTGTTTATAATCTATTTGAGAAGAAAAGGTCAGCACACATGAGACAGAAATATGTCTACTGTGTCCATTTACTGTGTTATGTACAAGTCATAGGTATTAAGAAAAATAAAAATTAGTAAGTGCTGGAGAGGTCAAGGAAGGCTTCACCGAAGAGGGATGATTTGAGGGTTTAAATTTTTTCTGAGACAGGGTTTCACTCCATCGCCCAAGCTGTAATGCAGTGGTGTAATCACGGTTCACTGCAGCCTTGACCTCTCAAGATCAGTTGATCCTCCCGCCTCAGCCTCCTGGGTAGCCCCAGCTGGGATTGCAGATGCACACCACCATGCCCAGTTCATTTTTTATATTTTTTGTAGAGACAGGGTTTTGCCATGTTGCCCAGGCTGGTCTCGAACTCCTGAGCCCAAGGGATCTGCCCACCTGAACCTCTCAAAATGTTGGGATTACAGGCATTAGCCGCTGCACCTGGCCTGGCTTGAAGTTTTTTAAGTGAAGAAAAGCAGAATTGGGGCCCTGGGGGTGGGAGATGTTCATGGGGGTGGAGAGAAGAGAGTCAGAAATATCCTGAGATATTTTTCTCATCATTTTTACCCCAACAGGAATAGTTGAGCCTCTCAGTTCTGCAGGGGAAGCTGGTAGTGGAGCCACTAGTGAGCACTTATAAAGTAGATGATAAAGAAAGGAAGTGGAGTTTGCTTGATAAGAGAAGAACATGATTAGAATGGTTGTGTTGGTAGCTCCTGGACTCTTTCTCTGCGGCTATTTCAGTCCCCTAGCTAATCTGGCCCTGACTTATAGTAGTGCCAACTTCAAGCCTTCAGGGCATTTTATACAGCTTCCTGTCTATGCTTCCCACCCTTATCACTCCCTCCCCTTGTTTTCCTTCCATTTTTTTAAATGACTATTATTGAATCAAATTTTCCTATTAATTAAAACCCTTGGGATCTTGGAACCTTAGTCAACTTTCCCCTCGTATATGACATAATGATGTACATTGTGTTTCAATGGCTCTGGACACCATCGCTGATAGAATAGGTCACCTGTTTAGCGTAGTCAGGATGAATGTTGCCATCAAGATGACTGCTCTATATTGAAGAGTCTGAGTCAACTCAGCATATCCAACTATCTTCGTGACTTTTTTTTTTAAAAGAGTTTTAATGTATTCCTTTAGTACTGGCAGTTGCTTTTCCCAGTCTGCTGCTGCTGAAGAAATTCCTAATGGTTAATGTCAGATCCCAGGATACTGGCCTATAATGCTGAGAAAGGAAATAGTGTCAGAGAATCTTGGTTTTTAGCTGCTGTTTTACTCTGCAGGAGCAGAGAGAAATAGGAGCAGGGGTAATTTCTTTCCTTTAGCAGCTGCTGAAGTAGACCTGATATTTGGGTTGGAAAAGTATATCAACTCACCTCAATTTAGAGAAATTATTTTTTAACCTTAAGAAATTAACGTATGTATTGCATCACTGAGGAGGCTCTTCTGTGGGCTTGTAGCAGGAAAAATCTAGACACTCTATGGGGCTATGCTACAGACATGGTGGCCCATGCAAGGAACTGGCAGCTGTGGGAGACAATGACAATGATTGACACTTGCCTGGCAATTTACAGCATACTGTTTCAAACCTGATTTAATTCTCTCAGTAAGCCTGAGATAAAGGGGTCATTTTATGCATTCCACAGATGAGGAAATAGACTTGCTTTCTTAAGCAACAGGTAGTGAGTTACAATCCAGAAATGAACACAGTCTCTCTGAATCCCAATCCTACACCCTTCCCAGTAAACAGGTTCTATTCCACTGTATGGCATTCAGTTGTGAGACGTTTCACACAAGAATTCGTCATTAACAAAAGAATTATATTTGATGGTGATAATTTAGAATCATAAGTCAAGAGTCTCTCATTTTCTTGTATTGAAGTGCATTTTTTTTTTTTTTTGAGATGGAGTCTTGCTCTGTTGCCCAGGCTGGAGTGCAGTGGCACGATCTCGGCTCACTGCAACCTCCACCTCCCAGGTTCAAGTGATACTTTTGCCTCAGCTCCCCCTCAGAACTGGTAGCTGGGATTACAGGCATGCACCACCAAGCCTGGCTGATTTTTGTATGTTCAGTAGAGATGGGGATTTGCCATGTTGGCCAGGCTGGTCTTGAACTCCTGATCTCAGGGGATCCACCTGCCTCGGCCTCCGAAAGTGCTTAGATTACAGGTGAGAGCCACCGCGCCTGGCCTGAAGTGCATTTTTTGAGCAGAAAGAATAGGTCAAATTGCAGCAAGCTATCTGGGGAATCACACACATCAGTTATATCTGTGCAGTAGCACTAAAAGACCATGGCTGGTGGAGATAATAATAGTTTTTGTGATTATAAGTTATTGCCTTGCTTTCCTCCCTGGAAAATACTGGGTTTCACCAAAGTTTGAATCTGAGTTTTCCTATGACAGTGTGCCTGCTTGTGTGAATATCATCCATTTTGAGTATCTCCAAAAGACATCAGTGGAGAATGTGGCTCATCGTGCAGCCTTCCTGATAGATCTGACTATGGTAGTGCACATACTACATTTAAGCCCTGCTGTGTATCAAAGCTGGGTACTCAACCCTAACACATACCCTTCACTTATAATGAAACTTCTAATGGACTCTTGCTTATAGGGAAAGCTTGTATAACCAACTCTCAATTTTTATGTGTATGTAAGGTCAAAACTGCAGTGTTCTGTTAATGGTGATACCACTACAATGTCTGTAGATATAGGCAATAGAAAACTGAAGCACTCTTATGACACAAATACAGTGTAAACATTCTTGAAAAACTGGGAATTTGCTGCAGCATCACTCCTAGCCACTCCCCAGAAATTTGGAGGTTGGACAACCTAGTGTGATAGTAGAAACACTTGAAATGTTTGGGAGTCATTTTTACACAAACTTGTGCTGTTGCTTTTTTTTAAGGTTAAAAAAGGCATGTTTTGATGCAAGAACACAGGATATGAGTTCGCACTAAATAAAGATCTACATCTACACAATAGGTTTCAATGACGGGGAGGAGAAGAGATTTTTATCTTCCATGAGATACTCAGCAGTATCCGGAGACCTTCTTGATTTTCCCAACTTAGAGTGTTAAAGCTATTGGCATCTAGTGGGTAGAGGCTAGAGATGCTGTTGCTGTTAAACATCCTACAATGCCCAGCCTTTATCCCTGCAGTAAAGAATTATTCACCCCAAAATGTTAACAGGGCTGAGGTTAACGAAGCCCTAATCTATACTGACACTAAAATGTTAAGCACTTTGGTAGAAATTGTTATCTGATGCAGCTGAGCAAACTGCAATGGGGTTCTACAGAAGGGAAAAAAAGAGGGTTACTATAACCAGATATCCCCATGTCCTCAGATTCTGGGAGACAGTTTTGTTGTTGTTGTTGTTGTGGTTGTGGTGGTGGTTTTTGAGACGGAGTCTCGCTCTGTTGCTCAGGCTGGAGTGCAGTGGTGCGATTTCGGCTCACTGCAACCTCTGCCTCCCGTGTTCAAGCAATTCTCCTGTCTCCGCCTCCCGAGTAGCTGGAATTACAGGCATATGCCACTACGCCCGGCTAATTTTTGTATTTTTAGTAGAGATGGGGTTTCACCATGTTGGCCAGGCTGGTCTCAAACTCCTGACCTCAGGCGATCCCGCCCACCTCGGCCTCCCATAGTGCTGAGATGACAGGCATGAGCCTCTGCACCCAACCTGGGAGACAGTTTTGTTCAAGTCCCCCAGCCCGTGGTAGAAAGTTACTTACAATATTTCCTGTAGGTTTTTGGGTGACTTTGTTTTAGTTGTGGGCTGAGAGACTCTGCTTGATTCACTGCTACTGCCTGTTCCAAACTGCTGCTTTCAGCCCCTGCCTCTGCTGCCCTCCCCCCGACTCCCTGGACCATTCTGTTTCACTTTGGATATGATTTTTCTTTCTTCCTCCCTGAAAAATCCCTCTTACATATGCTTATTGTGGGTTGCAAACCATTGCTGATAGGTCAGGGTTGTTTTTTAATTTCTCAAGTCTTCCTCAGCAAAGGAAATTTCCTGCTGCCCTTGAACTTGTGTAGGATTTAGCTGGCCCATGGAGTGGCCAGAGTTCTCTACCCTCTTATATCTCAATCTTCTTTTTTAGATCCTTAGGCTATCTCTCTGAGCAGCCAGCTAAAACCCCACAAATTCCTATTTCTTTCTCATACAAACTAATTTAGCCTTCTTTGTTTCGCTCTCTTCTTGCTCGGCCCTGGGTGGAGTGGGAGTGGGATTACTGAAATAGGAACATCAAAGCATTTTTCTAACAAACAACAGCAATCAGAAAAACAACTTATATCCCAGGAGATAAATTATGCCACTCTTCTAGAAGGCAAAATGTAAGTACTTGTTTTACATATAATTTATTTTCTTCCCAAGACACTGGGGAGAAACAATGTAGTGTAGCTGTTGTGAGCAGTGGGCACTGGAGTTAGACCACTTGGGGTTTGAGTCTTGGTTCCATCACCTGTTATCCCCATGACCATGGGCAAGTTACTTGACCTATCTGTTGCCCCTTAGTTCCCTCACTATTACAATGGGGAAAATAGAAGTACCTACCTTAGAGAACTATTGTGAGAATTTTTAAAAGGCAATGATGTGAAGTGCCTTCATTCAGTGGCTGACACATGGTGGCTGCTCGACAGTGAGTACTAAAGAGTGGGATGTGTAAGCAGACTGCCCACATAGAGAAAGAGCATGCAATGAGCACATTCCAACACACAGGGGTGAGTGTATTAAGCTACAGGGTTCAAAGAAGACAAAGAGCTTCCTCTCTTAAAAAAAAATCCCAGGCTCCTGGGAAAGACAGAAAAGTAAACAAATAACTATAATGCAATGTGACAGTGCTATAGCAGAGGTCTGTTTGTACTTGTCAAAAGATTTCTACTCAGCAGTGACCATGACATCCTGTTGTTGTGGCGTTAGTTTCTATCCCACTAGAGAGTCACAATGCATATTGCATTCTCCTTGCAGTGAAAGGTAGTTAAGTAGAGTGTTTCCGAGTGTTTGGATTTGGCCAGTCCCACTGCCAAAATCCACAGCTTAAGGAACAGAGATGTGTCTCTGTTTGTCTTTGCTGGTGGGCTCCCGTATCCTGTATAGTCTTAAAGGGGGCTTCATTCCCCATGGTGGGCTTCTTCTTGATTAAGACTCTGGGGCTTGCCGGGTAAGGTGGCTCACGCCTGTAATCCCAGCACTTTGGGAGGCCGACACGGGCAGATCGCTTGAGGCCAGGAGTTCGAGACCAGCCTGGCTAACGTGGCGAAACCCTGCCTCTACTAAAAATACAAAAATTAGCCAGGCATGGTGATGCATGCCTGTAATTCCAGCTACTCGGGAGGCTGAGCCAGGAGAATCTCTTGAACCTGGGAGGTGGAGGTTGCAGTGAGCTGAGACTGCGCCACTGCCTTCCAGCCTCGGTGAAAGAGCAAGACTGCCTCCAGCAACAACAAAAGACTCTGGGGCTCAGCAGAGTCTTAGAATGCAACCAAGGACAAACTACCTCCCCCAATCCTATAGGACCTGAGTAAGCACGTTTCCAAAAAGCAATGATTATTAAAATGCAACAAGCATTATTCTTTGTGTGATTTCAAGACCTTTTTACCCTATCCTTTCCCCAACCTCTAAAATATATCATGGCCTACAGTAACTTACAGAAACTCGGTGAGTAACTGTTTTGCTAATTAAAGTCGATGAATACTTAGATTTTTAAAACAACTGTAGAGAATGTTGGCAAAACCTTGAGTGTCACAAAGCAAGAAGCAGCCATCATCATGGAACAGTGTAAAATGAAAGTCAATCAAATGAGAAAAATATCAAAGTTGAATTTATTCCTTACACCTGACCTGGATAAAGTCCAAGTAGATATTAATATTTAAATTCATAAAATGATATCATCATGGTATTAGAAGAAACTAAAAGAGAGTTATTCACCTTAAAGTGGAGAAGGCATTTCTAATGATGACATTAAATCCAGAATTATACAAGAAAAGATTAATACATTCAATCTTTCAACATCAAAATTTTCTGCATAGAAAAAGCCATAAACATAGCCAAAAAATGACAAATTGCAAAAATATGCCTAGCTCTATTATAGACCAAAGACCAACTTCCCTAACATATAATGAGCTTCTACAAATAAGAAAGCAAAGACCTACAATGCAATAGAAAAATGGACAAAGACACCAACAGTGACTAGATAAAGAAAATGTGCTATGTATACACCATGGAATACTACACAGCCACGAAAAAGAATGAAATCATGTCCTTTTAAGCAACATGGATACAGCTGCCAACTAATGCAGAAACAGAACACCAAATACCACATATTCTCACTTATAAGTGGGAGCTAAACATTGAGTACACATGGACATAAAGACAAGAACTATAGACACTGGGGACTATAAGGGGGGAAGGAAGGAAGAGGGGCAAGTGTTGCAAAACTATTGGGTACTATGCTCACTACCTGGGTGACAGGCTCAATCATATACCAAACTGCAGTAACAGGAAATATATTCTTGTAACAAACCTGCACATGTACCCCCTGAATCTGAAATAAGAGTTAAAATTTAAAAAAAGAAAAGAAAAATGGGCAGAGAATATGAACAGGCAAGACCTGAGGAAAAAAAGTACACATGACTCCTAGGCACATGCAAGTGGCTCAGCCTCACTCACAATAGAGAAATTCAAATTAAAGCTACATGGAGACATCGTTTTTCAATTATCAAATTACCAAAGATCCAAAAATCTGACAACATGCTTTGTTGATGACGGTGTTCTGAAACAGGCATTCAACATCTATTCTTCCTCTCTGATTCCTGACACAGTCCAGTTTTATGTAGGCATTTATCCCTCCCAGCATATCCCCTAAGCCTCAGTTCACATTTGGGACTGACTGATCTAAGGGTAATTCCATTCCCCTGGGCAGTAATTGGTTCAGGAACCCAGGCTAGAATGAGTCAGTGTATGGCAGTGCCCTGAGGACAGGGATTAACTCAAGAATAGGGATGTAACCAAAAGTATGTTGGAAGTTCCTGGGAGGGAAATTTCCTTGCTCTTAGGTGAACTTCTAATTGATGGCATCGCTATGTGAAACCTGTAATGGCTATAGCCATTTTGCCTCCATGAGAGAAGCCACCCAAGGCCAAAGCCAACACACATAGGTCATCACAGGGCATTGCAGAGAGAGAGATCCAGAGCCACGAAATTCAGCTGCTCCTGAAGCCTGCTTGCCTCCTGGACTTCCAGTTGTATGAAGTGATCATTTTCCTTATTGTCGATGTGAGTTTGTATAGAATTTTCTGTTACTTGAAACTGCAGGCTAGTAGCCATGTAGCACAGAGAATGTTTCCAAGAATCTAAGTGAAACACATGGGTAAGTCAGAAGGAAAAAATGTCTCTGAAGTTTCTCAGACTTAGCAAACTGCCAAAGCACATGGCATGTGTTGATATAAAAACTTTCCAAATCAGGCTCTGAACTCCAATTAGAATATAGTACAGAAGCAGAGGGAGGAAGGGCTGGAGAGACCAGGACAAAAGTTATCACACATTTACACTGGTTGTGATTGGGCAGTGGGCCTATTAACAAAGCTTTCTCTCTCTTTCCTATATTTTCTCAGATAAAAATACCATGAATGTGTTACTTTTAGGATGAAAAACTAAATACAAAAGACCAATTGGATGTAAAATGGTGGAGAGGCTGGCCCAAGCAAACTCTCAATAAGTTGTCAGGTTTTCAAAATACAAGTCCAAAGGAAGAGTGGATAGATAAATAAATACATGCTCATAAAACCTCTGCATAAATTAGAGATTAGGAAATTTAAGAATTCCTAGTAAACTCGAGGCTATTAGGACTGAGGGATTTAAAACAAAACCCAAAAAGCAAATTTAGAATACAGTTGTCATGTTTAAAGCAGAGCTCATTTTTCTGTTCTTCAGACCATGATTTTTCACAATATTTTTGAGGTGTCATATTTCTAATCACCCCTCATAAGGAATTTGTTTTCATTTCCTAGTCATTCCACAGGCTGAGGGTCACTACATAATTCAGGTTGGGAGGCTGTCTCATCATCTTCTGGATCAAAAAGAATCCTGAAGTGGATGATGGGATTTTTCCCCCTTATTTATTTTCTGACAATCCTGAGAAGTAGAGGGAAGATGAGGATTCCATAAAGGAGACTCAAGTCTAGGGTAATTAGAGAGGAGGAAACCAGGAAGAAGGAGCAGTGACCTGGAAGCAAAGAGATTAAATAAGCCGGGGACTGAAAAATGCCTGCTGGATATGGCAACTAGGAAATCATTGATGATGTGGGCAGAAGCAGGGATGACAGCGAAGGTCAAGGCAGGTGAAAGACACTGTTTCACTCTTAAGAAAGTTGGCTGTGAGGGAGAGGAGGAAGTAGCCCTGAGGATAAGAGTGCCTGTTTCTGGGCTGGAGGAAAGTGCCAGCAGAAAGGAAAAGCTGGTGGTACCTGAGGGACCAAGGTTAACAAACCCAGTAGGGTTTAGGTGGTGGGGTGGAGAGCACAGGTGAAGCCATTTTCTTAGGCAGAACAACACCTTAAAAGGAAAAAAGAAAACAAAGGATGACTGTACATATGAATAAATTTATAAGTTGGGGGGGCAGGAAACTGAGGAATTACTGTCTGATACCCTCTATGTTTTCTGTGGGAGAGAGGGTGGTGTGGGTTGTATGAAAGACGTTGGTGAGATTTTAAAAGTCATTAATAAAGACACAAGAAGTGCTGAGTGAGAACTGGAGAACTGCCAGGAGGACTCCAGGTAACAGTTAGGGTCACAACCTGGAAAGTGCTAGCCTGCATGCTGGTGGCAGAGAAAGCAAATCCATCCAGTGCCATGGTTTTGGCCGATGGCAAGGTTGGGGAGAAAAGAGTGAAAAATCACTAGCTGTGGAATGATTGAATTGCAAAACTATGAGATCCACCATGGATGAGGAAATGAGGGAGGAGAAGAGGTGGTGGTGGTGATGGTAGGAAGTTCAGAGGAAAAAAAGAGGAAAGAAGTGTTTAAAAAGGAAAGGCCAAGGACAGTGCTTCTCAATACCAGTTTGCAGAAGAATAAAGAAGCTTGTTAAAAATGCACGTCTCCAGGCTCCATGTGAGAGATTTCAATTTAGCAAGTCTTGGGTACAAGATAGGAATCGGCTTTCTCCACCAGGTTATTACTTTTTAAAAATTGGTAACACAGGCCACGAGCAGTGGCTCAGGCCTGTAATCCCAGTACTTTGGGAGGCCAAGGTGGCCAGATCATTTGAGGTCAGGAGTTTGAGACCAGGCTGGCCAACATGGTGAAACCCTGATTCTACTAAAATTAGCTGGGTGTGGTGGTGCCTGCCTGTAACCCCAGCTACTCGAGAGGCTGAGGCACAAGAATGGCTTGAACCCAGGAGGCGGAGATTGAGGGGTCTGACACTGCACTCCAGCCTGGGTGACAGGGTGAGACTGTGTCTCAAAAGAAAAAAAAAAAAGGATAACATGTGCATAATGTAAAATTCATTAAGAGAAAAGATATACAATCAAAAGTAAGGTCTCTCACCCCTGTGGCAATTCCTGCTGCCATTTTCTCACATGTTCTGCTAGGGACATTCAGTACACAGATAATCACATAAAATACATTCTTTTCTCTTATGACAAGTGCTGTTATATACTTTTTTCCACATATATATATATATATATATATATATATTTTTTTTTTTTTTTTTTTTTTTTTGAGACAGGATCTCACTTTGTCACCCAGGCTTGGGTGCAGTGGCATGATCTCAGCTCACTGCAGTCTGGACCTCTTGGGCTCACATGATCCTTGCACCTCAGCCACCCAGGTAGCTGGGACTGCAGGCATGCACCATGACACCCAGCTAATTTTTTGTATTTTTTTTTTTTTGGTAGGGATGTGGTTTCACCATGTTGTCCAGGCTGGTCTTGAACTCCTGAGCTCAAGCGATCTGCCTGCCTCAGCCTCCCAGAGTGCTAGGATTACAGGCGTGAGCCACGGCACCCAGCCACTTCACCATATATTTTAAAGATCAATCCTTATTAGTTCATTAAAAGATACTTCAGTATTCTATTGGCTGCTTGGAATTCTATCTTTTAATATCAAAAGATAGAAAACAATAGATGTTTATACTAATTCTTTATTTCAGAGATACCCAACACTGAGGGAGTTTTTCAGTACCCTATGTATAAAGCACCATAACTTAGATTATATGTTTGTTTCTTTGTTTTTGGAGATATTGTCTCATTATGTTGCCTCGGCTGGTCTCACCTTCCTGGGCTCAAGTGATCATGCCGTCTCAACCTCCCAAGTAGCTGGAATATCAGCGTGCACCATGGCACCTGGCTCTAGGATTATGTTTTTTTTTTTTTTTTTTTTTGAGATGGAGTCTTGCTCTGTCACCCAGGCTGGAGTGCAGTGGCACGATCTCGGCTCACTGCAAGCTCCGCCTCCTGGGTTCATGCCATTCTCCTGCCTCAGTCTCCCGAGTAGCTGGGACTACAGGCATGTGCCACTATGCCCAGCTAATTTTTTGTATTTTTAATAGAGATGGGGTTTCACCGTGTTAGCCAGGATAGTCTCAATCTCCTGACCTCGTGATCCGCCCGTCTTGGCCTCCCAAAGTGCTGGGATTACAGGCGTGAGCCACCGCACCTGGCTGGGATTCTGTGTTTAATAGAAGATTTTGACTTGGGGTCATTCATGGACTATATACACATTGAGAAACACTTGTCATAGGACCTAAAAATATAATGAGTTTACAGGAAGGAAATGTTGAGAGAAACGGAGCAAGAAAACTGGAGGAACAGGGAGGTTTTACTTTGTGTCCTGATCTTTACTGATTTGAGAGATTTTATACTGATATGTATCACCCTCCTATGATGTATATACAAAACATATTATTTGTACATAATTAGAAAATACTTATGTATATTAACAGCCACTGAATCCTGGTGACAGTAGGTGAGGCAAAACAAAACAAAAACCCAGCTAAAAATCAAAAACCCCAAACAGACAAAAAAAAAAACTAATAAGAAATATGTTCCCATGTGCTGTCAAGGTTTCCATAAAGAAAGCAGTGAAAAATCTCCAAGGGAAAGATCTTTTTATGATGTCATTGGAATGTTATTTTTGTCATTAGAAAAAAGCTCCAGCCATCAAAATGAAATGCAATGAGTCTGCAACCTTGAATTCCCCAGGACTCTTCAATTCTGCTCGGATTCCTTGACTAGGGGCTAGGACTAATTTAGAAAGTAGCAGAAGGTGGATTAAAACACAGATTCATCTGATTCCAGCCCCCAGGCCCTTTCCATTATGAACACCACCTTCTCACCAAGGAATGTTCCTGGTGTTCCTTGCCAGAGGAGCCAGACATCTGGCCTCCAAAGGTGACAACTCTCACTTCTACTTAGCTACAGGGAGGCGCTCTGGATGACACTGGTAGCTACTAATACAGGGGGTGAACTCTTCAGAGAATCATCCAGCCACATCAGTTGGCCTAGTAGGTCCTGTTGGAATTATGCTACCCCAGCTGAAATAGAAAGATAAACAAGGCTGGGAGCACTGGCTCACGCCTATAATCCCACCACCTTGAGAGGCTGAGGCAGGCAGATCACTTGAGGTCAGGAGTTTGAGGCCACCCTGGCCAACATGGTGAAACCCCGTCTCCACCAAAAAATACAAAAATTAGCTGGGCGTAGTGGTGCTCTCCTGTAGTCCCAGCTACTCAGGAGTCTGAGACGTGAGAATCATTTGAACCCAGGAGGCGGAGGTTGCAGAGTTGAGATCGCGCCACTGCACTCCAGCCTAGGTGACGGAGTGAGAACCTGTCTCAAAAAAAAAAAAAAAAAGATAAACAAGCTCTTTCATATGATATAGTGAAGCACATTAGACATCAGACTGACATAGAAGAATCTTTTAATGTCAAAAGATGAAAAACAATTCATGTGTATATTATTTTTAATTTAGGGATTCACAATATCTGGGGAGTTTCGCAGTATCTTGCATGCTTTCCCTTTCCTTTCATTGCCCTGCTCCCAAAGTGTGGTAAGTTTAAGAAAAGTGAATTGGTTTTTTGAGACATGACAGAAGACACTCTCAGGATGACACAAAACCATAACAAGAATTACTAAAGTAGTTGGTGTCACTAAAAACATATTTTAAATTACTCATATGGAGTTGACATTTAAAAAAAGGAGATTGGGTTGAGATTTCCAAGAAGAATCATCTCCTAGTTAGTAAGAAAGTCTTTTATTTTCACTTGTTTAGCTTCATATCCAGATGATGGTATTTTATAATTATATTATGTGAGATTTGGGAAGTTTCCATTTGATATTTATTTTCCTGATGTGATCTAAAGCAGTACACAGCAAATGGCTAAAAGAGATCCACAGAAGAATTCTGGGGCACTTCTTTTTTTTCTTTTCTTTCCTTTTTTTTTTTTTTTTTTTTTGTGACAGGGTCTAAGTCTGTCACTGAAGCTGGAGTGTGCAATCACAGCTCACTGCATCCTTGACCTCCCAGGCTCAGGTGATCCTCCTGCTTTAGCATCCTGCGTAGCTGAGACCACAAGCTTGCGCCACCATGCCCAGCTAATTTTTGTATTTTTTGTAGAGATGGGGTTTCGCCATGTTGCCCAGGCTGGTCTCGTACTCCTGGGCTCAAGTGATCTTCTCAGCTAGGCTTTCCAAAGTGTTGGGATTATAGGTGTGAGTCACCACGCCCAGCCTTCTCTTCCAAATTCTCTTCACCTTCATTTCATATTATTTTTTCCTTCCTTGAACTGCTATTCTAAGCTGGTGAAATGCTTTGAAATGTTGAAGAATTACCAAATGAATGATGAAACAGATTAGGCCGGGCACGGTAGCTCACGCCTATAATCCTAGCACTTTGGGAGGCCGAGGCGGGTGGATCACCTGAGGTCAGAAGTTCAAGACCAGCCTAGTCAACATGGTGAAACCCTGTCTCTACTAAAAATACAAAAATTAGCTGGGCGTGGTGGCGCGTGCCTGTAATCCCAGCTATTCAGGAGGCTGAGGCAGGAGAATCGCTTGAACCCGGGAAGTGGAGGTTGCAGTGAGTCGAGATTGCGCCATTGCACTCCAGCCTGGGCAACAAGAGCAAGACTCCATCTCAAAAAAAAAAAAAAGAAAAGAAAAAAAGAAAAAACAGATTAAAATCTCTAATTGGAAAGCCATTGGTTTCTGTGCTTTGTTTAATCAATGTATATGAACTGAGTGTTAATTGATGCTAACAGCTTTCTCTGCTAGGCCCTGTGGAACATGCTGAGAAGTGCCTTGCCCTCAAGGAATGTACAGTTTAGATGGAGGGATTTGAAGTAGCACATAATTAAACGCTAAATGAGTGGAACATGTGAGTGCTCTAGGCTGTTCAAAAAATAGAAGAATGGGTTTGGAGTAGACGTAGTGGATTTTAGCAGGCAGGTGGAGGGGTAATGTTTTCTAAGTAAGGCAAATGGTGTCAGTAAAAGCACAGAGGCAGAAATTAATAAATGAGTGGGCTGATAAACATAAATAGTTATACTGATATTCACCAATAAAAAGGGTTCATGCTGGGGAGTAGCGGCAGTTAAGTTGGAGAAAATAGTGATTCAGGTTGCTGGGGTCTTTGCCCGGCTAAGGAGTATCCCTTTAGTCCTGAAGGGAATTAAAGGCTTTTAAGAAAAGTGGATTAGGGAGATTAATTTGTTAGTGGAAGGTAGAATGGTTTAGAAGAGGAGAAATTGGTGGTAATAGCAGACTGCTGGGTACGACTTGATGAGGGGATTCTCCAGAACGGTTGATCTGGCAACGTAAGGGAAGGGTTGAGCAGGAGAAAGCCTGTGGAGACTAGACACTGGGGAAGGATATATGAGGTTCCAAGTCTGAGTGAGCTGGAAAATGTTGGTTTCACGAAGACAAAGAAGAGGCGCAGGACTGGGGGAAGACATGGATACTTACTGCGTCTGGATCATTGGCAGGACATGTGGGCCATAATGTCTAAAACAGATAATTGCCACACAAAAATGGATCAGAGCTGCAGTTTGCATGACTCTGCTCCAAGGTGGGCTTGGGTGGGGTTATTAGATTTCGTACATTCAGCTTTGTCCTTTTCAGGCAGGAGACAGCATCTGCTGTCGAGTACTCTCAGTCCCCAGGAGGCCTATGAGCTAGTCAGAAAATATAATTTTAATAGGATTAGCTGAGAGATGAGCAAATGTCAAATGGTGATTTGGTAGTATGTCATGGCTGCTAACTTTGACATGCTAAGTGTAACATTATTAATGGCTTCTATGCATGGCTAAGAGGGTTAACACTTAGCAAAATTAGTTCCCTGGATTTTTGTCCTGCTGTTATATTTTATGGGCATGATGGAGTGTGCTACCTTGAGTAAACCATTTAACCTCTCTCTGCCTTAGCTTCTAGTTTATAAAATAGGAAGCTTGTTGTGGCAGGCAGTATTCACAAACATTTTGAGAGCTACAGAGAGCGCTGTAGGATTGTCTTTCTCCCCGCCCCCTCATTCCCCCCCATCCACCCCGTCCCAATGACTGAGTCAGTCATTTGGAAAGGTCAGCTTTTTCACTGGATACTCTCAATTGCTACTCCCTAAGTCAGTTAATTAGTATTTTTCTAAAATGCTCCTACCAGTCCAGAGCTGAAAGATGTAGTCTCTAACTGCTGTTTCTACTCTCTGGGCCTGCCAATCCTGCTAACCCCTTTTCACCCAATGGCTATTGCCATGTGACTCACACCTCAGGTTCTGGGATCAATCCCAGTCATTTTGGAGGGCAACTAGAGCTTTATATTAACACTCTGGGACTTCAACATAAGGCAACCATGCTCAGTGTGAAGTTTGGTCCTAGTTCTAGGTATTAGGCTCCTGCTTTGTTTGTAAGTCTCACTCTGTCCCCCCAGATCCAGCCTTTGAATATTTGTTTTGTCCTGCTGGGTCCTCAAACTTGGGCCTCCAGTGAGTATCTCAGTAGCTCAAGGATCTGAGTTCTATTTGTTTTCATCAATTCCCTGTAGAAACGAAAGGGCAGACCTAGAAAACCCCAGCACTGAAGCTGGGGCCTTGCTATAAGCAACACACTTTCTCAAGGCTTGCCGTGATTTCCCAATTTTTGCCCACTCCTGGATTTTCCAAGGCTATGTGTTCCAGCTGTCCATTGGCTTACAACACCCACATTCTCTGTTTAACAGGCCTGATGCCGGCTGCCTTCCTGGCCTGCTGCCGGTTCCATATCCTCCAGATACTGCATTCTGGCTGAACGTTTATCACGCCAGCTGGGTTGGCCTCCGATTCCACGGATGTATCTGGTTCTAGTTTCCATTTCTCCCCATCCACCTCACCCTCATTACAGTTAATCCTTTTATATTAAACCATAGCGGATCTTTGCTGTTGTGGAAACTGATGTGGTATTGGAATTTTATCCTTGTTTACATCTTTCTTTGTGTTGGAAAGGTTGGGATTACTTCCAAAACCTTCCCAGAGAGCTTTCCTGTCTCCTTTAGGGGAAACAAATGAAAACTTGACAATAGCTGGTATCTATGACACCAGCTTCAAGGCCACTATTTTAATTGTAAAATTGCATTATTTAATCATAATTTTGCTTTTAGATATACAAATATATTTTAAAGTATATTTTGTCCAGTGTTTACTCACAGCTCTCAATTTCAAGGTATCTTACTGGAACTCAGTGGCTTTGTGGTTATAAGGACATAAACAAATCAAGGCTAGGGATGGTGTGGTGTTCTACAGTGGTAAGCTACATTAGAATCCTCCGGAGGACTTGTTAAAACAGATTGCTGGGTACCACCCCACAGAGTGTCTATAGAATGATGCCCTAAGAATTTGCACTTTGACGAAAACTGGTCATGTATTTAAGCTGGTCACAGATAACCAGAAGGTGCTGAACTGTTCTTAATCAATTCAAACTTTTACCTGAAATGGATAATAAGGTGGAGAGCCTTGAGAAATGAACTTCCAAAGTTCAGTGCATGCAGTTAGCATGACTGCTGGTTTTAGAGTTCTCAACCACTTATTGCTTATGAGCAATAAGTGGCCATAAGCATTTGGCCAATCACTTACTTGAGTTTACAGGTTTTCTCATCCATAAAATAACAATAGCTGCTATGCTGCCCTCAAAGGGTTGTCCTGAGGTCTGAATGGAATGGGTGTGATAGTGTCTGAGCAACTATAAAGTGGTATGGCACTGGGAGGTATTGTAACGGTTTTTCATTACTCTTCTTAAAATATCACCAGTTTCCTTTGGCTCTTGTTTCCCTCATTAATTATAGCAACTGTAATCTGGGAATACACAGTACTTTTATTGCCATAAAAGCCAAACTTCAATAAACTCAAATTTCAAACTTTTCTATAAAATTTTATTCAGTGAGATCAGACACGCCTTATAAACATTACACAGAGCCAAGAATGATTCCGTTTTTACAGCTATAAAAAGAGATCTACAAGACCCTATTGTAATTTGGGGTGGCGTCACGGTTAATCTTTTTCAACCCTGTTTAGATTGGCCCATTAATAAAAATGGCTGCTAGTTACAGCACATTTAAAAATACAATCACCGCGTACAAATGGTAACCTGTCCACTCCATACTTCCATGTCCTGTGCCGCTTCTATTAACTTGTCTTTGGAAGTAGTAAATTCTCCCAGTCTGGACGTGGCTATTTTTTCTCACACACGGGCCAACACAGTTCTTGCTCAACTTGGGTGCGTTTATGACTTTTCAACAGTGTCATCAGCCGTACCTAACTCTTCCAGGCCTTCAGTATCTCAGGTGTTAGCTTCAGTTGTTCCTAGGTCTTTCACAAATATCATAAATGACAGGCAGGACGCTTTTCTGGAGTCAAGATCTGTTAGTTTCGGAGTCAGAAAGACCCCGTTTAGAGACTCGTAGGCGAACTTGCCAGGGGGCCTACCAGGGGCAGAATGGGGTCCTCCGGACCAGCCAGCCGCGTCTCAGCCACCTCCGCAGCCCCCGGGGCCCTGAACCCCGGCCGCGTTGACGCGCGCTTCTCCCGGACGTCGGCAGGAGGCGCCCGCGGCGGACCAGGCGCGGCGCGCACCGTAGCCGGCCCAGGGGGCGGAGGGAGCGGAGAGGAGGAGCTGGAGGGGGCGCGGCTTCCTCTCGGTCGCTCCCTGGCGCCGGGCCTCTTTCTCTGCCTGGCCCAGGGCTGGCGGCCGGCGGGGGTCGCGGCGGCGGCAGTGGGGGCGCTGGCGGGCCGCGGGTGGCGGGGGCCGGGCCGCGGCTCCGGGTGTTAGGAGACAAGATGGCGGCGGCTCTCAGAAGGCCGGTCTCCTCCTCTCCGCCGTCCTCCGCCCCGCCGCTCGCCGCCTCCTCCTCTCGGGTCTCCTCCTCCTCGTTTGCTGCCTCCTCCTCCTCCTGCAGCAGCACCAGCGACCGCCGAAGCGCCGGCTCGCTCACCCGGAGCTCCGGAGGTGGATAGACGGGGCAGCTGCAGGCTCCGGCGACCGAGGCCGAGCTGGGGCCGGGGCGGGGACGGCGGCGGCGGCGGCGGCGACGGCGGCGGCGCCGGGTGGGGATGGGGTCGCAGACGCTGCAGATCCTCCGACAGGGGGTGTGGGCCGCGCTCAGCGGGGGCTGGTACTACGACCCGCACCAGGCCACCTTCGTGAACGCGCTGCACCTCTACCTGTGGCTCTTTCTGCTGGGCCTGCCCTTCACCCTCTACATGGTGAGTGTGGGGGCGGGGAGCGGGTGGCTCCTTCCCCGCGAGCCGGTGGGGAGATGCTGGGGTCGCGCCCTCTTCCTCTTCCACGGGGTCTCGTCCCCCGGGGGCCGCCACCCTCTCGGTGTGAGGCTCCCCGCCCCCACTGCGTGCTCCCACTCCTCTCTTCGGGGCTTTCCTGGTTTCGGAGGTGACACGAGCAACGAGCCCACGGCAACCCGCGCCGGCCGCCCCCGCCCGCTCACTGGGAAGCGGCAGCGTCCTAGGCCCCTTCTCGGGGTTCCCTCCTGCGGCCACTCGGCTAGGCCGTCCCCGCCGGGGCCCCCCGCCCGTGGGGCTGTGTGGCAGGCGCCGAGCGCTCTGCGGCTTTAGGGGACGCCGCATCCATCCTTGGCACGCTGGGTTCCTCGGGCGCCCGGCATCCGGCACTGCCCGCCCCCGCCGCGGCCCTCGTCCGGGGCTCCCGGGAGAGGCCGCCCGCCGCCTCGCCGCTAATCCGCGTGCGGAGCCCCGGGAGCGCGGGGGACCGTGCGGCTCTGCTCCGAGTGTGTGTGGGGGTCGTCCGGGCTCGTCCTCCAGGGGTCCTGGGTGGTGGCTGAAAACCCGGCTCGGAACCCTCCTGCCTCTAAAAAACCGTTGTTGTGCTTCGCAGCGGTTCTTCTCTGTTCGGCCCCGTGGCCGGTGGCCGTGGTGCTTCCTGGCCTCCCTGGGGGGAGGGAGCGGGGAGATAACGGGGAATCTGGCTGGCATTTCAGCAGATTTGTTTGGCTTGGTTCAAGGCCTTTGGCGGATAGGAGTAGGGAGAGAGAGTACTGCCTGTTGCTGAATTCGGTGCGATCAGCTTCTCTGAATCATCTGTGTTTTTAAAGCAACATTGAAAGTTGTTAAGCGCAGTTTCTAAAGCACAGGTTAGGGTGGGGCGTTAGGGAAACTCGTGTGGACAGAGATGTTACTTAAGGCTTCATATAAAATTTTAAAGTAGTCAGAGGGGAGGAAAGGATCTGAACTTTTTATTTTAGGAGAATTCCTTTGAATGTATTTCTGCTAACTTTGAGGTTCTTTGTGGAGCTAGAGACAGGGTGCTGAGTTAGAAAATCCCGGAGGACCACTATGAGAAGTGCAAAAGGTGAGGACACCCAATTCTTCCCTAAGTGAAGTTCAGTTTCACTAATTGGCAGGAAAAGTGTCTGCTTGAGGGAAGATGTGCACATTCTCAAGCAGATTCACATTTTTCGTTGAAATTGTTTTGAAGGGACTTATTGTTTGAGGTTAAAAAAAAAAGCCATTAAGAAATGCTGATGGCTTGTGGCTTGTTTTATTAGGGGGACTTGTTCAGTCTTGTTGCATTCTGAAAATTTATCGTGAAGTATTATAATTTTCAATTAATTTTGGCCTAGGGAGTTCTATTTGCACTACTATACCTTCCAGGAATATGACATCATTAATGAACGGGTTAATTACTTTGGGTTTAAGAATCCTCAGGCTGTCACAAAATTTTCAAAGCAAATTTCTTCTATGTCCAGAAGAATTGTAGATTTAAAACTGAAAATGATTTTTGAGAGGTAAGGATTAGTTGCTGGGTCCAGTGTAAGATTTCTTTTTTAACACTTGTAGTAAACTGTGTGGTCATGGTTAAGTCTCTTTGTGTAGTTAGCAAATGTTACTGAAAGAATATTAGAGCAAATGGAAACCAGGACATTGAGTTTACTTCCTTCATTTTGGGAGTTCAGTTAAACTGAATTCTCACATATTTGAGTGTCTACCATGTACTAGACACTTTCTGAGATTGCTTCTGACTTCCTTATCTCAATTAATGGCAGTCCCACTCTTCCCAAACCAGAAGGTGCTGAGCTGTTCTTAATCAGTTCAGACCTTTACCTGAAATGGATAATAAGATGGAGAGCCTTGAGAAATGAACTTCCAAAGTTCAGTACATGCGGTTAGCATGACTGCTGGTTTTAGAGTTCTCAGCCACTTATTGCTTATGAGCAATAGGGGCTGTATCTTCAAAACCTAACTAGACGACGACTCCTCCCTCCTCCTCCTCCTCCTCCTCCTCCTCCTCCCCCTCCTCCTCCTCCTCCTCCTCCTCCTCCTCCCCCTCCTCCTCCCCCTCCTCCTCCTCCCCCTCCTCCTCCTCCCCCTCCCCCTCCTCCCCCTCCTCCTCCTCCTCCTCCTCCTCCTCCTCCTCCTCCTCCTCCTCCTCCTCGTCCTCCTCCTCCTCCTCCTCCTCTCACCAGCACCATCATCATCACGGCCATCAGGCCATCATCATTCCCTTGGTTCGTCACCATTCTCTCTCCTGGATTATTGCAGTACTTTAATGAGGTTCAATGCTTTTGTTCTTTATTCTCCACACAGACGCCTCTGTGATTCTTTCAGATCATGTCATTCTTCTGCTCTCAGGGCCTGCCCTCTCCTGTGTCTCTCTTGTCTCAACCACACACACATTTGCCGCCTTACTCTTCTTGCCAAGAAGTATGTTCCTGCTTCAGCGCCTTTGTGCTTGCTTTTCCCTCTGTCTGGATGACTCCTCTTTTCCAGATACCTGTGTGGCTGCTCCACTTTTTGCAGGTTCTCATATACGTGAGGCTTTCTCTGATAGCCTATGTGAAATAGCAACTTCCCCAGCTCTCACAAGACTCCATAGCCCACCTTTTAAAATAGTATGGTATTTATTCCTAACTGATATCTATTTATTTGTTTTTATGTCTTTCTTATCTTATTAGAATATAAGCTCTGAGAGGGCAGGAACTTAGTTTCGTTCACTGCTGTATTTTTAGGACCTAGATTAGTGTAAAGCACATGTAGTACTCCGATGAATGATTGAGAAGTGCACAAGACACAGCTTCTGCTTTCAAGGAACTTAAAATCTAGCCTGGGGGTAATGAGTTGTTACTGTTAGAACTGCTAGGAAAGGGTAAGTAAAGAGGGACCCTGATCTTATAGTCAGGGGATGAACCCTAGACCAGGGGTGGTCAGGACAGAGAATTTGTAAACATTTTAGGAAACATACTAGTAAAAGGTAGATAGTTTGAAGTATACACCAAAAATAAAGCAAAATCCAACATTTTGTGTTAAAATCTCAGACAGCCATAGGTTATTATTTGCATGCTCTTACAATAATAACTGTAAGTGATAATGACTGTTTTAAAAGTACATGTATAGGTTCTTTAACCCCGTGACCTCATGAGGTTTTGCTGTTAGTAGGCAAGTTGTGAGCTGGGATTTACACAGAGCTTTCTGAAGGCAAAGTCACTGTACAGGCTGCCTTTTATTTATTCCCCCCCAAAAAGTGCCTAAATCTGTGGAGAGATCGTACATTAAGTTAGGAAACAGTCTTAGGACTTTATAGGATTCAAACACTTTTGGTGTTTATTTAGGAGCATTTGTGGATACTTTGAAAGGTGGACTCTATATACATCAACTAGTTAAAAATCTTTTAAGTAGTGAAAATGAAGAAAAAATTTTTGTTTCTTAATTCTGATTGTCCTGTCTGTTTCCTTTAAGGTACTCATTCTTTTTTATCTAGTTACAGTGATTTTTGTACATGTCACAGATGATGAGATTTTTGGGGGTGAGT
The DNA here is from genome assembly GCF_000001405.40 of Homo sapiens. NCBI lineage: Eukaryota > Metazoa > Chordata > Mammalia > Primates > Hominidae > Homo > Homo sapiens. Next base: position 70,911,581 of record NC_000014.9, read on the forward strand.
GGCATTTTTGTATGGTGGAAAGCAGATTGGAATTAGTGTCTTGATTTTTGAATCTTGGCTTTGTTATTGATTGTGTGTCCTGTGGGCAAGACTCCACCTTTCTGAACCTTGATTTACTCATTTGTGAGATATTTCATGGGTGTTTTTCAAGAAAATATTTATGAAATAGAAGAAATTATTTACCTTCAGAATGGCCTTCAGTAAATGTCATTTGAAAAAATGGCTAATTGGAAGTGTTTCCTCTATAATGCTGTATGACTGTAGGAGACTAAATAGCTCTGGATTATTAAGTCAAATCATTTTCATAACATATTGCTCAATATATTGTTTTCCTCTGTAAAGCAATATATCCCTAGGTGATGAAATAGAACATTAAAATTTATGGCTGGGCGCGGTGGCTCACGCACTTTGGGAGGCCGAGGCAGGCAGATCATCACGAGGTCAGGAGATCCAGACCATCCTGGCTAACACGGTGAAACCCCGTCTCTACTAAAAAAACAAAAAATTAGCCGGGCATGGTGGCGGGCGCCTGTAGTCCCAGCTACTCGGGAGGCTGAGGCAGGAGACTGTTGTGAACCTGGGAGGCAGAGCTTGCAGTGAGCCAAGATTGTGCCACTGCACTCCAGCCTGGGCGACAGAGCGAGACTCTGTCTCAAAAAAAAAAAGAAAAAAGAAAAAAAAGAACGTTAAAATTTATTACGTAAGTGGTTCCCAGACTCCTCCAGTTGACATCAGAATCACTTGACAATGTTAATGATGTGCAAGCCCTTTCTTATTCGGTAGATCTGGAGTGTGGCCTATTGATTTGTATTTTATAAACATTCTAGGTAAGTTTAAATAACTTGATCAATATTCCTAACTACCAGCCCCTGACTGACATCCAGCTGCTACTCAACGTACCTCTTGGCTGTCTCACAGGCATCCCAAAAGTATCATGCCCAAAAGCTTCTGAATTCCCCCCTAAACAACACTGCCACAAAATGTTTTTCCTCACTCTGTCATGTTAGTTAATGGCACTGTCTGTATCTAGTTGCTTATCCCCCACCCCTTGCTTTTGAGCAAATCTTACCACTTTCTGCTCAGAGGAAAAGACATAAATCTGTGTCATTCTTTTAAATATTCTTTAAAGATTTTCTTTGGCACTTAGAAAAAAATCCAGAATCTTTATTAAGCCACCAGAGCTTATTCTGCCTTTGTTTACAGTTTGTGCAGTTTTCCCACTGTGCTGTAGTCACACTGGCCTTTCTGTTACTTTAGCCCACTGAGCCTTTTCCTCCTGTGAGACCTTTGCACGTGTTGTGCCTTCTGAAAGGATACTCTTCCTTCTTGCTCTTTGCAAGGCTGGCTGCTACTTAATCTTTAGGGCTGGACTTCAGTATTATCCCCTCACAGAGGCTGAGCCTGATAACCATAAATAGGTTCCCTCTCTTTTTTTTCATCATTCCATTCCATAACTTTCTTCCATAGCACTTAACACAAACATATATTTTTTGTTTGTTTACTTGTTTGTCCTCTCGATCATCCTCCACTTCCATACCTTGTAAGTTCCATGAGGGCAGGGGCCAGGTCTGATTTACTCATCAGTGTTTATCAAGTGTCTGCATGACTGCCTGGCTCATATTAGGATCTGAAGAAGTATTTGTTGAATGAATTTTTTATTATACATGTGAAGCTTTTTTAGACTTGTTAACTGATGTAGAATAGTTGGAGGTGGAGGGAGGATTGTGGTAGGCTGTATCATATGGTGGAGCTGCTTACTTAGGGGTTAGGTTCGGTGTCAGTCTCTACAAGACAAAAATCAAATATAAAATTACTGAAAAATCAAATACAAAATGACCCTTGAAAAACACTTAAGTCATTGAAAGTGCAGTACGTATGGCTTTTTGTGCATACAGCTGTGTGGTTATACATACATACATGATATATACAGTAATATATACCACATAAATCTGTGGAGAGATTATATTCAGACTCTAAATCATTAACAAAATTTATAAAGGTTTCAACATTTTCTTCCTAGTTGTCTTCATTGTTTTCTGTAACTGATCTTTGTCATCTTTAGAATGATATATCTTTTATTAGTGAGGATTACGCTAAAGCTCTCAGGTCATTTTCTTTCCCCCAATTTAAAAGTATTTAAAGATCATTTTAAACAAGATTTAGTTAGGGTGACTAAAACAGGGATTTTCATATTTTAAAATTTATATTTCTCTAAAAGTTTAGATCAAGCTAGAAAAGTTACTGTGCTATAAATTAGCAATTTATATTGCTATTGCATATTGTACATATGATTTTTAAGTATTATTTTCTGCATCCTTTAGGGGAAGGTTAATGACTAGTGGATGGCCTGTTTAGATCTATTAGCCTGTGCCCTTTACCAGTATTTTCAATATTTAGGATCAAAGTGAGTCTAATTATTTCCATAACTGGTCATGGCACAGATATAACTCTTATGTATTATATTACCTATAATAAATTAAGGGTACACTGTCCAAAGATGGTTTACACAGAAAACCATCTACCACATGTTCTCACTTATAAGTGGGAGTTAAACATTTGGATACCCACAGATACAAAGAAGGGAACAATAAATACTGGGGATTCCAAAAGCGGGTAGGGGGCGAGGGTTGAAAAGCTATACATTGGCTACTGTGTTCACTACTTGGGTGACAGGATCATTAGAAGCCAAACCTCAGCATCACTTAATATGCCTATGTGACAAACCTGCACATGTACCTTGCTGAATCTAAAGGAAAAGAAAATTAGACCTCCAAGAAAGCAGCCATATTTGTCAATTTGTAGAAAAGTGTATTAATTTACAAAAAAAGCAGTTGATTTATAAAATGTTCTGTCTTTTGTGACGTAAAGGTGGAGTGTTTTCTCCCACTTGAAAATTACTCCAAATCATAAAATCATTTGGTGATTGGAAAACTAGGAAAGTTTCTATTTTTTTTCTAGCCTTTGAATACACAGATTCAGTCAGGTAATTTGCTTTCTCTAGCTGACTTTACTGAGAGTTAAATCTTTCAACATTTTATTAAAGAATTTTCAAACATATAGGAAAGTTGAGAAAATTGTACCCACCACCTGGATTCTGTGTTTTTAAATATTGTGTCTCTATCTGTTTTATTCCTCTATCTGTCCACCCTTTTTTAGGGAGATGCATGTAAATTAAGTTACACTTCTATACAAATCACCCCTAAACTCTTCAGCAGGTGCATTGTCAGGTAGGTTCTAAAGGCACAATCTTCAGTGAACCATTCGATGAGTTTTGATAAATGCACACGTTTGCGTAGTGTAGACTTGGCATGTTGTAGAATATCAGCGTCACTCCAGATAGTTTCTGCTTGACCTTCTGAGTCAGTCCTCTCATCCTTGTTCTGACTTTTTTTCATTATAAATTAGGTTATCCTGTTCTAGAATTTCATATAAATGGAATCATGTAGCACATGCTTTGTGTAAGCCACCTTCACTCAGCATAACGTGGTTGAGATTAATCCATGGTGTTGTATCAGTAGCTTTTTTCCTTTTTATTGCTGAGTAATATTCCTTTGTATGACTGTGCTACAGTTTGCTCACCTTTATCCATTCCCGTGTAGATGAGCAGCTAGGCTCTTCCCAGTTTTTGGCTACTATATGTAAAGATGCCAACATGAGGATAGGTTTTATCAGAACTCAAAGACACTGGAAAACTTTACGGAATCTCAAAACCCTTTTCTCTTTCCAAATAAGACCATGTTTTAATTTAAAAATCTTTTTGTTCAGCTGTTCTGATTTATTTGTCTAAATCAGAAATTATAGATAAGTAAAAAGAAAATACAGCCATTGGTAATTCCATCACCCCTGTCTGTAGAACATTTTAGTAACCAAAATATATTTGGAGTTTTAAATACTACTTTGATTACAAAAATGGGCTCATAGAATTCATACTGTTTTCAAGTCTCCTATTTTCACTTTAAATTATGAGTGTTTCCATGGGTTGGGGGTAAGTGGCTTTTTAATAGCTCTGCAGTAGATCATATGTGTTACAGTTTAATCATTTACCTCTTACTGGTTATGTAAGTCATTTCCAGGTTTTAGCTATTTAGAAAACAGTAGGGTGAATACTCTTGTAGTTAAATATTTGTACTAGTATTTTGTATAAATTCCTAAAAATAGACTTGTTGGATTATCTTCTTTGATAAATACTCATTTTACAAATACTGAGTGAATCTTTATATTGAGAGAGAATATAAATATGAGAATGAGAAATGGGTAGATAATGCAGGGTTCCTGGAATACAAAATAGGATTGTGGTCCAGAAAGCACATGTGTTAAAGGATTATCCTCAGAGCAGGAAGGAAGGAGGCAAGGATGAAGGGATAAAGGATGAAGGATGAAGGGATAAATCATGGAGGAAGGGATAAACAGTTCATGGGAAAAGTTGAGGTTCATCTTTTATGATTTATGTAATCTCCTTAGAGGACAAAGTGAGTGTGTTCTGTTGAGAGTGAAAGAGGAGGTGAAGAGGATATTTAAGGTTTGAGGGAGATCCCCCAAATGTGACATGCTATTCTTACTTTTGGTAAGTGGAAAAGTGAACTATCAAGGGATGGTAGGATTGTTGAACAATTTTGAAGGTATCTTTGAGATTGGAGAACATGAATTCAGAGTGTCGAAGAGGAATGTTCAGGAGAGAAATCTGGGGTAAAATTTACTTGCAAGTTATCAGCATGTAGATCTTCTGGGAAGAAAGTTTATCTCATTAAAAAGAAAATGGCCTTGGACAGAATTCCAAGGCCTAAACAGCATTTAGAAATCAGCAAAGGAAGACAGAGTTGTAAAATGAAGACGAAAAAAGAGCCAGGGAAAGAGAGTACAGGCGTACCTTGGAGATATTGCAAGTTTGGTTCCAGATCACTGCGATAAAGCGAATATTGCAATAAAATGAGTCACAAATTTTGTGGTTTTCCAGTGCATATAAAAGTTATATTTACATTATGCTGTAGTCTGTTAAGTGTGCGGTACCATTGTGTCTAAAAATACAATGTATATACCTTAATTAAAAAATACATTATTGCTTAAAAATATGCCAAGGATTATCTGAACCTTCGGCGAGTTGTCATTTTTTTGCTGGTGAAGGGTCTTGCCTAAGTGTTGTTGACAGACCAGGGGGTGACTGTTGAAGGTTGAGGTGGCTGTGGCAATTTCTTAAAATAAGACAACAATGAAGTTTGCAGCATCAATTGACTCTTCTTTTCATGAAAGATTTATCTGTACGTGTAATGCTGCTTGATAGCGTTTTACCCACAGTAAAACTTCTTTCAAAATTAGAGTCAGCTGTCTCAAATCCTGTTACTGCTTTGTCAGCTAAGTTGATGTAATATTCTAGATCTTTTGTTGTCATTTCAACAGTGTTCACAGCGTCTTCGCCAGGAGCAAATTGGATCTCAGGAAATCACTCTCTCTGCTCACCCATAAGAAGCAACTCCTCATCTTTTCAAGTTGTGTCATGAGATTACAGCAATCCAGTCACATCTTCAGGCTCTACTTCCAATTCTAGTTCTCTTTTTGTTTTCACCACATCTGTGGGATTTCCTCCACTGAAGTCTTAAACCCCTCAAAGTTATCCATGAGGGTTGGAATAAACTTCTTCCAAACACCTTGTCAATGTTAATATTTCTACCTCCCATGAATCATGTATGTTCTTAATGGCATCTAGAATGGTGAGACCTTTCCAGAAGGTTCTCAGTTTACTTCATCCAGATCCATCAGAGGAATCACTGTCTGACAGCCTTATGAAATGTATTTCTTAAATACTAAGACTTGATAGTCAAAATTACTCCTTGATCCATGGGGCTGGAGAATAGATGTTGTGTTAGCAGGCATGAAAACAACATTAATTTTCTTCTATGTCTCCATCAGAGCTCTTGGATAACTAGGTACCATGTCAAGGAGCAGTAGTATTTTGAAAGGAATCTTTTTTTCAGACCAGTAGGTCTCAAAGATGGGGTTAAAATATTTAGTAAACCATGCTGTAAACAGATGTGATGTCTTCTGGGCTTTATTGTTCCATTTATAGAACACAGGCAGAATAAATTTGGAATAATTCTTAAGGGCTCTTGGATTTTTGGAATGGCCAATGAGCATTGACTTTAACTTACAGTCACCAGTTGCATTAGACACTAGCAAAAGAGTCAGCCTGTCTTTTGAAGCTTTAAAGCCAGATATTGACTTAACCTTCTCTGGCTATGAAAGGCCTAGATGGCATATTCTTCCAGAAGGTTGTTTTATCTACACCAAAAATCTGTTGTTTGGTGTAGCCACCATCAGTGATCTTAGATCTTCTGGATAACTTGCTGCAGCTTCTACATCGGCACTTGTTGCTTCATGTAAACTTTTATGTTATGGCAACAGCTTTAACCTCATGAACCAACTTCTGCTAGAGTCAAATTTTCTTCAGCTTCCTCACCTCTTAGCCTTCATAGAATTGAAGAGAGTTGGGGCCTTGCTGTGGATTAGGCTTTTGGCTTAATTAAGGGAATGTTGTGGCTGGTTTGATCTTCTATTCAGACCACTCAAACTTTCTCCATATCAGCAATGTTATTCATTTGTGTGTTCACTGGAGTAGCACTTGTAATATTCTTCAAGAACTTTTCCTTTGCATTCAGAACTTGACTTTTGGTGCATGAGGATTAGCTTTCTACCTGTCTTGGCTTTTGATGTGCCTTTCTCACTAAATTTAATCATTTCCAGCTTTTTGTTTAAAGTGAGAGAAACGTGACTCTTCCTTTCACTTGAACACTCTTTACTATCGTCTGTGGGCAAGGTTGATGGTACTCCCATCAACAAATCTTTGATTTTACTATTTTATTTTAGAATTTACACTATTGTAATTCTAAAATAGTAAAATCAAAGATTACTGATTACAGATCACTGTAACAGATATAGTAAAGAAAAAGTATGAAATATTGAAGAGTTACCAAAATGTGACACACAGACAAAGTGAGCACATGCTGTTGGAAAAATGGTGCTGATAGAGACATGCTCCACAGAGGTGTCACAGCTTTTCAGTTTGTACAAAATGCAGTATCTGTGAAGCACCATAAAGCTAAGCACAACATAAGATCTGCCTGCATTTTGCAGAGGAGAATGGTTAAAAATGCCAAATTTTCTTCTAGGACTAGGTAGTGCTAATTTAAATCTCTGTCAACAGTATTGAGAGTACTTGTTTTCCCACTCTCACATAACACTTTTCCAAAACAGGGTGTTACTGTTATCAATTTCTTATTCAATGGAGTGTTCGTTTGTTGGTGGTTTTTTGGTTTTTTTTTTTTTTTTAGACAAAGTCTTTTTCATCGCCCAGGCTGGAGTACAGTGGTGTGATAATAACTCCCTTCAGCTTCAAACTCATAGGCTCAGTGGATCCTCCTGTCTCAGCTTTCTGAGTAGCTGGGACTGCAGGCCTGTGCCACCACAACTAGCTACTTTTTAAAATTTTTTTGTTGAGGCGGGGGTCTTGGTATGTTGCCCAGGCTGGTCTCAAACTCCTGGCCTCAAATGATCATTCTGCCTCAGCCTCCAGAGTCACTGGGATTACGGGCATGAGCCACTGCACCCGACTCAATGGACTATTTAATGAAACATCCAGTAATAAGTATCAGTAATATTTTGTCCTTGACAGTAGACAGAATTTTTCTTGAAGTATTTTTTAAATTTCAACTTTTTTAGTCCAAATTAAGGATGCATACTGCACTAACATATTGCATAAGAAATTTGATCTGATTTTTCCTATTCTTTGTAATTAATTTTCACAGCAAGCAACTGACAAGCAGAAATGTTTCTTTGAGAGAGACTGAGTGCCTCCTTCTGTTATCTGAGTTAAATGATTTTCCTGTGTCTCTTAGGAAAGCTGGAGGGGCTAAGAATTTTTTGGCAGGTGAGTTGAGACACCTGAGAGTAATAACACTAGAATAGCACAGACTAATAATATGGAGAAGAGAAGATTACAACAAACGTTCTATAGAGTTGATTGCTGTTGACTTCTTTAGCATATAGATGAACTTTACTAAATCCATATAGATGAACTTTACTAAATACTATAGATGAAATAAGTAGCTACTGATTCTGGTTCCTCTGGTTTCTCTGCTCCCCCCCCCCCCCCCCCCCCACCAAATAGGAGATGCTTTATTTGGTAGAATTGTAAAACAGTTCAGAGTTCTTCTTTTATCCCTGGAACCTGAGCAGTTGCATCTTTTATAACTTGCACTGTCAGTGCTAGTTGCTTTGTGTTACAAGAAAGAAAAGAAAACTTAGGGAAAAGGAAGTCATTTCCTTTGAGGTTTTAAGGGGGAAAAAAAAGTTGCATTCTGTAGAGCTTTGAACGAGCCAAATAGAACCCTGAGCGCCAACTGCCCTGAGAACAGGCAGGAAGATTAATCACAACTTTGAGAAGCTTGAATCACGTGTCTGGCTGTTTTCCTTTTCCTACCCCTCCTCACTCCTTGTTTGAGTGTTGTCTAGACATATACTCAACAGATCTAATTATTGCAGTTGTCATCTTTAAAACTTTACATTTTGTTATAATTTTAGATTTACAGACAAGTTGCAAAGATGGAGTTCCTGTATACCCTTCACCCAGTGTCCTCTAATACTAAAATGTTACATAACCATGGTTTCAAAAAATTAGAAATTAACATTAGTGCAATGCTATTAATGGACTATACACTTTATTTGGATTTCATCAGTTGTACTTTTTCTGTTTCAAGATCCTTCAGTCCAGGCCACTGTGTTGCATTTAGTATCATCTTTACTATGGCTTTCTTCTTTTCCCCTCACAGGCTAGAATTCTGTTCTTTGAGGATGTATACAATTTGTCAAATGTATCTTATGAGAAAAATTTGCAAAAGGTTTTACATCTATGATAGATACATTTCAGATGGACAAAAGAGAGGGAGAGTATTCTGAATATTTTTGAATAACCTAATACAGGCTAACCATTAACCTATATTAGGCTATTTTAAAACTGAGGTATTTTACATATGACAAATTTCGTAAAATGAAATAATTCCAAGATGAAAAAGACTAGAGCTCATTTATGACAGTATGGACACCTGTCTCTTGGCTCTCTGTATAATGCTGTTTTTACTAATTTATAAATTGAGGCTATGAGACAAGTACACAGCCATATTATAAGGTAGAATATGACTAATGCCTTGTGTGTCATAAAGTGCTCAGGAATTGGAAGGAGGATGTAATTATTTCCTAGAATGCTTTATGCAGAGGATATTCATACATTCAGAACCTTCACTGTGTGCTGGGTGCTGTGGTAGGCCTTATGGTGGGACCTTTATGAGGTTATTTGTGCTGGAATAGTGTTTCCATAATCTTCCCACTGGGCAAATTAATCTTTGTTCTGGGGAAAAGATTGTTCCTTAAAAGAATGTATGTTCTTGGATGTAGTGTTTTGCTCTGCTTAAGTATTCTAATTTATCTAACACATTAAGGGTTTCTCAGTGAGTTATTTTTTAGCTTCTGAGAATATTATTTATAACATTCTTGGTATGTATCTGGAATGGTTAAAAGAAATGATATAAAAACAAACAATTCAGAAAACCTAAATAAACCAATTTCATTTTCACTCAGCAGTATTTATGCCACAAATATACATTACACGTAATTTCCACAAGCCTCACAGACCCTCATGACCCTCATGACAAAACTGAAATGAACTTGGATGGGGAATAAAGAGGAATTTTGGGTTGTTTTTGGCATTTTACTAATGAAATCCTCAATTTCATATGTATTTGATTTATATATCAAGCAGTCCTCCCATCTGAGTCTCCTGAGTAGCTAGGACTACAGGTGTGAACCAACATGCCAGGCTAATTTTTGAATTTTTGTAGAGATAAGATCTGCCTATGTTGCCCAGGCTGGTAAAGATATTTTCAAAGTGAGAATAAAGATAGCTAATCTTAACAAAAATATGCTTTGTTACCAAAAATCTTACTTTACTCCCTTAATGTCACAGTATTGAATATTGAAGAATACCAGGATGTGTTATTGAAAAATATACTTAAAATACTTTAAATATACTTGAAGTGATCTTTTTTCAATTTCTGTATATGAAGATTTTCAAATGTATAAGAAAATTGAAAGAATGCTTCATCTAGATTCCACTATTATGAACCTTTTTGAAAAATCACATTTGTTTCAACTATATAAAGATGCATGGTATTTATCTGTACATACTCTGTCTCTCTTACACACATATCTGACTCAATTGACAGTATGTTGCAAACATTATGACACATCACCCCCTAAATGCTTCAGGCAATATTTTTAATTTGTCTATTGGTACATTTGGAGGGGGAGTTGTTTTTCAAAATATATGTCGGGATAGGTGATTCTGATGGCCATTCCAAGTTAACAGTCACTGTGCTGGGAGGTCTGTTATTTGTGAATGCCTGAAAACATCTTATTATTTCCTACTTAGGTTTTAGTTTAACTCATCTCCCTTTTTCAGCACTGAAGAAATTGCTGAGTAACTGATTCTGGCAATAATGTACACTTTTATGGTATGGATAATAGTACAACTTATATAGTGCTTTTTACCCAGTATGGTGTATTTATGGAGCATTTCACCCTTAAGTTAAAAATCCTTTGTTAAGTTTTTGTCATGAAAATAATACTAGTTGTAGAAATTATTCCAGACAGTAGTTAAGTATATATAGAAAACATGAATTTTTAAAAAATCTTTAATAGGTATTAGACAAAAACATGAATTTTTTTCTTGCAAACCTTTAATAGGTATTAGATGAAAACATGAATTTTTTTACAAACCTTTAATAGGGGAGAATTTTATAGCATGGAGAAAACCGGTAAATGTGAATACTATATATTTTAAGGTTATATAATAAAAATAGGGGAAATGTTATAAATAAAATAAAAAGTCTTCTGTTCTCTATCATCCACGCTACCAGTTCACATGCCTCAGAGATAATGGTTGTTTCCTCTTGGTAGTGTATATATACAAACATATATTCATATATGTATGTACTTGAAATAGCCAATGGGATTATATTTGTGTTGCAGGATCCACTGAAGTGCATGTAACTCTTCTTCATTTTTTGAACCATTTTAGAGTAATCCATTGTATAAATTATTGGTTCCCTAGTGGGGGACATTTAGGTCATTACCTTTTTTTTTTTTTTTTTGCTAGTGCAAACAATGCTGGGCAATATATTAGTGAACACTTACGTATATAAGACTTGTGGGATTTGTAGCATTAGTTTATAAAAATTACTGGGTCAAACGGTATGCACATTTAAAATCAAACTAGATGTTGCCAAATAATACCTCAAACAAATCTACCAATTTATATTCTCTCCAGGATGTGAAAGTATCTGTTTCCTTTTGTTTGTACCAACATTGGTTATTATGAATCTTTCTCAATGTGATAGTGTAAAATGGCATCTTGTTTTAATCTATGTTTCCTTAATCATGAATTCTTTGAGTATCTTTTCATATGCCTAGTAGACACACACACGTCTTTTTTCTTTTAACTGCCTTTTGTATATTTTGTCCTTTTCTGAAACGTTGTTTTTCTGTGATTTGTGAGAGTTCTATATATATGTAAAAATTAGTTATTGTGGTTTATTAAAGATTTCCCCTATTTTTATTATATAACCTTAAAATATATAGTATTCACATTTACCAGTTTTCTCCATGCTATAAAATTCTGCTCTATCAAAGGTTTGTAAAAAAATTCATGTTTTCATCTAATACCTATTAAGGGCTTGTAAGAAAAAAATTCATGTTTTTGTCTAATATCTATTAAAGATTTTTTTAAAATTCATGTTTTCTTCCAATACTTTTAAAATATGGCAATAAATTTGCATGATTAAAAACCAACAAAACTCCAAAAGATGATGAAAGGTTGCCGTTTTCTACCTGCACATGATCCTCCTGTTGTCCACTCGTGTACCACCTCCCACAAGAAACCACTATGAACAGTTTCTTGTGCATCCCACTGTAGCATAAAGATGAAAATTCAAATATATGTCTGCCTCTCCCCTACCATACTAGTGTATATACTGGCTTCCCCACCCCCCACTTAATATATCTTAAACATCTGTCCATCGGTAGCTAAGGGCTTCTTGAGTTGTTTTAATAGTGAATAGTATTCCATTGCCTGGATGTATTATTTAACCTGTTGCCAGCTGACAGATTTTTTTTTTAACAGCCTTTGCTAACACAAAACATGCTGCAGTAAATAATTTGCACAGTCATTTCACATGTGTCCAGGTACATTATTAAGATAAATTCCTATAAATAGGATTGCTTTGTCAAAGGGCTAATACTTCTGCAGTTTTGAAAGATACTGCCTAGGCTGGGCACTGTGGCTCACACCTGTAATCCCAGCACTTTGGGAGGCCGAGGCAGGCAGATTGCTTGAGTCCAGGAGTTCGAGACTAGCCTGGGCTCTATGGGGAAACCCTGTCTCTACAAAAAGTACAAAAAATTACCTGGGCATGTTAGTATGTGCCTGTAGTCCCAGCTACTTGGGAGGCTGAGGTGGGAGGATTGACTGAGCCTGGGAGGTCAAGACTATAGTGAGCCGAGATTGTGCCACTGCACTCCAGCCTGGGTGACACAGAGTGAGACTGTCTCAAAAAAAAAAAAAAAAAAGAAAAAGAAAAAACAGAAAAAAACCTACCAAATTGCCCTCAAGATATTTTAAAAGAAATCTGGTTTTAGAATGCATAGAAAAGTCTCAAAGATAGTGCAGAGAGATCCCGTATACACTGCATCCGGTTTCTCCTCTTGTTAACATCTTAGATTACTGTGGTGCATTTGTCACAACCAGTGAGCCAATACTGATACATCATTATTAACTTAAAGTTCATACTTTATTCAGATTTCTTTAGTTTTCACTTAATGTCCTTTTTCTGTTAGGTTCCATCCAAAACTTTTGATTTTAGTTTATTAATTTTGAACTAGTCACCTTATATAACTAGTTTATTCCTTTATTTTATTTTATTTTTGACACTGGGTCTAATTCTCTCACCCAGGCTGGAGTGCATGGCGTGATCATGGTTCACCACACCCTCCACTTCTCTGGGCTCAGGTGACCCTCCCACCTCAGCATCCTGAGTAGCTGGGCTGTAAGCACACACCCCACCACGCCTGGGTAATTTTTGTATTTTTTGTAAAGACAGGGTTTTGCTATGTTGCCCAGGCTGGTCTTGAGCTCCTGGGCTCAAGCAATCCACCCACATCAGCCTCCCAAACTGCTTGTTGGGATTACAGGCATGAGCCACTGCACCTGGCCTGAACTAGTTTATTCTTACATTGTTCTGTTGATTTTAAAGACATTTTCAGATATGCAATTATATTTGTAAATAACAGTTTTCACATCTGGTTTTTTTTTTTTTAATTTTTTATTGAGACAGAATCTCACTCTGTTGCCCAGACAGGAGTGCAGTGGTGCGATCTCAGCTCACTGCAACCTCCACCTCCTGGCTTCAAGTGATTCTCCTGCCTCAGACTCCCGAGTAGCTGGGATTACAGGCGTGCGCCACAACGTCCGGCTAATTTTTGTATTTTTAGTAGAGATGAGGTTTTGCCATGTTGGCCAGGCTGGTCTTGGACTCCGGACCTCAAGTGATCTGCCTGCTTCAGCCTCCCAAAGTGCTGGGATTACAAGCATGAGCCACGAAGCCCGGCTTGCGTTTTTACCTTATGTAATTGTTTTGCATGGTACCTTTACATCTTTATGTCTGTGTTAAATAATGTTGAAAATGAAGACAGCCTTGTCTAGTTCCTTACTTTAATGGGAATTCTAGTGTTTTACTGTCAAGCATACTGTTTTTGTTTGAAAAATAGATTTTTCCCCCCATTTTACAGAAATATTTCTGTATTCATTTTCCAGTGACTTCCGGTCATTCACTATCAGACTAATATTTACCTCTGTATTCTGAGGGCTCACAAATCTCACTTACCTCATCTTTTTTTTTTTTTTTTTTTTTCATGTAGCTCATCTTTGGTTGCCCTGAACTGTATCTACTCAGGTCTTTTTATTTGCTTGTCTTAATTTTGTCACTGTACTGCTTAAACATTATTAAAAATATCAAATATTTATTGTGCTGTTATATACCCATGCACCATATGCTTTCAAATGTTCTCATTTAATCCTCATCATAGCTTTGTGAGATGAAGATACTGTAAATCCCCTTTTGCAGAGGAGGAAACAGAGGCTCCTAGGGGTTAAATCACTGGCTCATGTTTACATAGATTGCCCCTGCCGTTTTTTCCTTTTGACCGCCATAGCCACCTTCCATCACCCTCCACCATCATACAAGATGCTTCTTTCTGATTAGTCTGCGTTTGAAAGCCTACCTGTGATTGATTTGACATGAACTGAGCATCTCCTGATCTTTTTCAGTGTATTCCGGGATCCAAAACTCAGAGCTGTCCTTCCCATCTCCATCTAGTTATATCCTTAATCTTGGCTCTCCTTCTTGACCAACATATTATGTGAATACAGTGGAAGCCCATTTAGTACAGTGTTTTCCCAGGGATTTAGTTATGGTTCTTGCATATACTTAAAGTGAGATAATTTGTGTCACTGGTCATTTGGGGCCAGGGTTAGCCTTGTTCTGTGGCACACATTATAAATGGATTTCATTAAACTTTTATGTGCTTTCACTTACTGGTCTAATGTGGGGTTCTTTCCTTGCTGTGCTTATATCAGATACTCTCTTGCCATTGCCCCTGCCGTCTCACCTGCTCCTTCACTCTCGCTACAGAGATGCAGCATTTACAGTCTGTGTATATCCTGCCCATTCCAGTTCAATATGAACAAAATTTGTACTGTAGCCCTTATGAATATGTAAATAGCAGCAAGAGAAGCACTTGCTGCCAATTGGCTGCATGTTTCAAGGAATGTAAACCTCTTTTGGGAGATTTTAACCTAACTTGAAACAGCAGTGCTGTAGGCCTCTAGTGGGTAGAAACCAAGGGGATTTTAAACCTCCTATAATGCACATGACAGCGCCCCACACCAAAGGATTGTCTGGCTTTAAGTGTCAACGGTGCCCACAGCGAGGAACATTGCCCCAGAGTTTATGTTCTCAGTGGGTGTGGTGTTACCCTCAAGGGGGCAGAAATTAACTCTTGAGGGATGCATGTGTGAAAAAAAAATCTTATTCTTTTTACATATAAAGTACAGATGTACATGCAGCACAAACAAGTGTGCAGTGTATCTGGTATTAAAATTTCACAGGGAGCGTGATGAGGAAAAGAATGTCTGAAAAGGCTACTTAGGAGGACAATAATGAAGAAAATGGGTGAGAAACACTGCATTGGAGGGAGACAGTATAGTTTAGTGCTTAAAAATGCAGGCTGTGGAGTCAGACTGGGTATCGCTTCACTTTCTGCCGCTTACCAGCTGTGGGCATATGACTTCATGGCCTCAGTTTTCTCCTTTAAAATTAAGATAATAACAGTACTTTCTTCAAAGGATTGTGGCAATATAATCCAGTGTATGTAGTGCTTGGTAAAACACTAAATTTGTCATTCTCCTAAGAAGCTCAAAGAGAGAAAGGATCATGTTTATTTCCGTATTAACATTCCTTAGTAGAATATCTGAGACTTAATAGGTGTTCAGTAAATTGTTGCATGAATGGATCAAGCTCCTGTTCTGTAAGTGTGTCTTAGTTGCCTTTATGGTGGTAGTAGGATATGCTCTTCTACGTTTTTAAATTTTTTTCTGTTAGGCATCTTTCACATTTACTTCACCTTAAATATAGTATGTTAAATGTGCGTAATTGTAGTACTTCTGTTTAAAGGTAGAAATGGATTATACAGCATGCAATAGTATCATTCTGTTTCAAGCAAATTGAGCTCAGGGCAAGTGTGATGGAAATGATATTTGGGTTCTGGTAATGCTCTTATGAGAGCTAATATACTTTTTACAGTTTATATATCTTATTGATTTTCATTCTCTCTCTTTTATTTATTTATTTATTTATTTATTTTTTTCTGGGAGGCAGTGTCTCACTCTCTTGCCCAGGCTGGAGTGCAGTGGTGCGATCTTGGCTCACTGCAACCTCTGCCTCCCAGGTTCAAGCGATTCTCCTGCCTCAGGCTCCCTAGTAATTGAGATTACAGGCGTGCACCACCAAGTCTCGCTAATTTTTATATTTTTAGTAGAGACAGTTTCACCATGTTGGCCAGACTGGTCTCAAACTCATGACCTCAAGTGATCCTCCCACCTTGGCCTCCCAAAGTGCTGGCATTACAGGTGTGAGCCACTGCGCCAGGCCTGATTTTCATTCTTGTGTTAGAATTCAGCTTGCGGTTTCTTCTACTAAATGTTAGTGAAACAGAAAAGAATATAAGCAAAATAATTTTTGATCTAATTTTTGTATATATTAATATTTCATTTTAAAATATTTATTTTTACTTAATTCTCATAGTTTGACTCTTCCTTTGACCTAATACTTTCATTATTGAATTATTTTGATTCTTAAAAGCTTTAAATTTGAGTTACTGTTATTATTTTGTGCTTGCTTATTATACTACGTCTATAAGAATATAGTTATACTTTTATATAGGAGCAAGGAGAATCTCATTGTTTTTAATGTATTTGCTCATAAGGTAATCCCATTAAATGTATCCTGAACTGGCATTTTGTGAGGTATGTTAAAACAATAACCTAGCTGCTATTCTTCAGAATTGCAGTGTCATGTTGACAGAATTTGTTAATGAATGCTTACTTTTACTTAATTGTGAATCCTGAAAAAATGTTGCAATAGAATATATCAGGAACAAATGGGAGAAACAGGATAGGTAAAGCTATTTAAGTTGGACTTGCCATGAGACAGCTTTGGTCCTCATATTTACCATTTAGAAATTCAGTGTTTATCAATTTACTGTGGGATTTACTTAGACTGATAAATAAAAGAGTGATTTATACAGTAAAATATTGTTACTAATTTACAAAAGGAAATATTAATGAAGATAGTTCTTAGTGTAGGGCACCTTTTCCTTTTTCCAGAATGGTTAGGTTTACTAAGAAAATCACATATAAATCAAAACATTGTTAGTGCCTCTCAAGTTATATTCCTATATAGCCATTCTTTCAGTTTTTACTTTGGGAATTTTGGGGTAAAGAATGGCATGCAGTCTCCAGATGATACCATCCGGATAATACTGGGAGACAAATCTGTACCAGACTATTTCTTTAATATGCATACATACCTCTACCTTTCTGCTTTATTTTAATAACCAGTTATAATTCTCAGACATAGCAGTTTTTAAAACCGTTACACTTTTGGCTTGCTGCTACTTGATGGTTTGGGAATAGGTACCTTAATCTCATCAGAAAACCATTTCAACACATAGGATAGGATGAGTTAGTTTTGTAAAAGGTTTTTGTGAATCACCATTTCTATCTATAAAGTTTAGATTGTTGGGTATGTTCTATTCCGGGGCCTCTTTGTTACCTTCATTTTTGAAAAATTTCAAAGTGTGCTATCTTTAACAAATGCTTCTAGATAGGAATTGTTTGGATACCCTTTTGGGATTACATGAAAATTATTATTTCTTTTGTTCTCTACAGTGATCTAAAGATGCTTTTGGAAACTCGGGGAAAGCTCTGCTGTACATTCAGTGTTTTTTTTTTTCCCCTCTTACCGTCTTGCTCTTGTTTTGAAGCATTCTATCTCTAGTCTACCATATGACTATATATATTTGATTATTAGGCTAGGTGCCCCCTGACCCAAAAGTATCCCTCAGCCAAGAAGGAATTATATTATCTGACTTATTACAAAGTCTTTTGTATTACTTTCCACTTGCCCAGTTACTGTTTTTCATCCAGTTGTTTTTCTTGTGTGTGTTTGTAGCAACATGACTTGATTTTTAAACAGTTTTTTAAAATTTAGCATAGCTAATCATAACTGTTACTAGGGTTATAACTTAATAATTTGCAAGTGTTGGATGTCATTAACACTTGTTGGATTAAGTTAAAAAGTAGCTTATGGAGATAAGAATATGTACTTATGTGATGAGTGAAAAAAAGAAAAGTTGTCCTAATTAAGTACAAATGGACATTTGGTTACACAGAATTCCTAGGAACAGCATCATACAGAAAGTGTTAGAACTCAAACTTATACTGAAATGATGATGTAGATGTGCTATGTAAACCTGTGTTAGGTAACTCATAATGACTTCTGTGATGAAGAAACTTCTGTTGCTAAAAATATGTGAATAAATTGGACAAAATCATTTCATGAAATAGAGTAGAAAGGATATACGTAACATTTTAATTATGAGGACATTGACTTTCACCAGAATTTATAGATTCAAATTGTATAAATGATTTTCTTTCTTTAAATAAAAGTATAGGAAAAATTCTATAATGTACATAAGATTATTTTAGTCCATCAGTATACATCCTCACATTTATTTGTTGGGTTTTTTTCTTCATCCCTTATTTTTCATGTCTGTGCCCTTTCTTCTCATGCATGTGTGTGTGCCTGTGCATATGTTGTGTGTGTGTATGTGTGTATGTGTTTGTGTGTTTTTAAGGGACAGGGTCTCCCTATGTTGCCTAGGCTGGAGTGCAGTGGCTGCTCACAGGTACAGTCATAGGACACTGCAGCCTTGAACTTTTGGGCTCAAGCAGTCCTACCACCTCAGCCTTCCAAAGAGCTGGGGCTACAGGCGAATGTCACTGTACCTGGCTTCATATGGATCAAGCTGCTCATCTCTAACTCCTGGCTTAGTGACTTCTGCCCTGAGTAATAGACTCAATCTCTGTTGCCGATGAGTTGCATGTGCTATGTTATTTTAGTCTCTTTTCAGCTAGGTGATGTGGCATAAATTTTGACTGTTACCTCCCTAAGAACAGCATTCTATTGTAGCTAAAAATATAAATATTAATTCAAATGTAGGTTATGGAGTGACAAACAGATTTTTAAAAGATAGATACAGATTTTTAAAAAAGATAATATCTATTATTTTTAATTCTATTTATATTAAAATATTTATGTAGCAGACATTTGCAGAAATACAGGTAGGCTCAAGTTCCAATAGCTCACTTGTAAACCAGTTGCCTTTGGGGAAAATGCACTGTGAGTTTGTACACAGGTTCCCAGCTGGCCCTCTGAAATTAGTTTGGCCCTGTGTAGTTAGCTCAGTAGAATATTATGTTTTTTTTTTTCCTTTGGGAAAGTATGCCTGAATCTCAACATTGAGAGTACTTTTCTCCTTTTCCTCTGCAGCTCCATCCTCTGAAAGGAGACTTCTAACTGGAATGCTTTACCTCAATCCCCAAAGGAGACTGTGGCAAGAGGGCTAAATCCCTGGAGCCATGGCCATTGATATCAGGGCCTTTTCTGAGTCCTTTGGGGGGCAGCTTATATATGGAAAACTGTAAGCCTTATTAAAAACATTCATATTCTTTCTGATCCCTCTTAATTAACATTTTCTAAATTTATAGGTAATATTTGAGTACTAAACCCTTCTTTCTCCCTTCTCACCAGCATTCTCTCCATCCACCAAGAATGAAAGGTGGGAGAGCTATGGAACTGAATTGCAAACACTGCAGGAATTAACTTGCCCATTTTCTTTGGGAAAAAGCCAAAGGGGGTTTTTCTATCATTGTGAGTAAGTAGAGGTGTTCCCAACTCCCCACCCCTTCAGGCATACCAGTAAAAAAGCTAAAACTTGAGGCCAATTGGCCATCTTAAGAGCTTTACAAAAAAATGGTTAATTCTTTTTCCCATTAGTAATTTGCCCACAATGTAAACAGCCATAGGATGGACTGATTTTTAGGCAGACAGTAGAAAGAAGGCAGCACTGCTATTGTTACAAATGTTTAGTTTTCATCTCCTGAAAGAGTGTTAAGAAAAGTTAGTCCAGATATACTGATGGATGGAACTTACAATTTACGATAGGATTAGTGTGCCCGTTTGTGTGTTTTCCCCATGTCTAGGGCATAAGGCATACTGCTTTCAAATTCTGCTAATTTTTGTTTTCATCTGCCAGATTTTTTTGGTATTATTTAATTTTTAGTTCTTTTTCTACAAGATACTATTAGCAGAACAGACAGAACTTTAAAGCCAAAAAAATTAAGTTCAGTTTTTCGCAATAAATATGCTAGTGGTTGTTTCTGCCATAGCTCACTAGAAGCACCGTTTTCTTAACTTGGTAGTTGGGAACATTCAGAGATCTCAGACCACACAAAGAGAAACAGGGATTTAAGAATGATCTAGGGCCAGGCACGGTGGCTCACGCCTGTAATCCCAGCACTTTGGGAGGCCAAGGCGGGCGGATCGCCTGAGGTCGGGAGTTCCAGACCAGCCTGACCAACGTGGATAAACCCTGTCTCTACTAAAAATACAAAATTAGCTGGGCGTGGTGGCACATACCTGTTATCTGTCGCAGCTACTCGGGATGCTGAGGCAGGAGAATCGCTTGAACCTGGGAGGCAGAGGTTGCAGAGAGCCGAGATCGCGCCATTGCACTCCAGCCTGGGCAACAAGAGCAAAACTCCATCTCAAAAACAAAAACAAAAAGAATAATCGAATAATCTAAATAAATTTAGTGTTTTAAATTTGGAAACGAAACTTTTTCAACTTTTTCTAATAGCTGGATGTGAAACTATAGCATATAAGGCAGCAAAGGACAGCTTCCGGGGAGAGACAATTGTATTTATTTGTTATACATTTATAGCTAAACATTTTGAGGAAAAACATCTAGTACAAGGAGATGTGAAGAAATGTAAACTTCGGGGTATCTTTGTGTTTTGAAAGGGTGATCTAGATTGTTTTATTTTTACTTTCTATGATTTTTCTTACAATTAATCTACCTTTTTAGAGAGACAGTAAGACACAGGCTTCATGTTTGTATCTATTTTTAAATTTTTCCTTTATTGTGCTAACAGACTCTGTTCCTAGTCCCTAGTCAGTTACCTTTTATGTCAAATAGTGACATGTCTATTGAAGTTTTTATTTTTATTTATCTAATTTTATTTATTTATTTATTTTTATTTTTATTTTTTGAGATGGAATTTCGCTCTTGTTGCCCAGGCTGGAATGCAATGGTGCAATCTTGGCTCACTGCAACCTCCGTCTCCTGGGTTCAAGCGATTCTCCTGCCTCAGCCTCCCGAGTAGCTGGGATTACAGTCATGCGCCACCATGCCCGGCTAATTTTGTATTTTTAGTAGAGACGGGGTTTCACCATGTTGGTCAGGCTGGTCTCGAACTCCCGACCTCAGGTGATCCGCCTGCCTCGGCCTCCCAAAGTGCTGAGATTACAGGCTTGAGCCACCACGCCCGGCCAAGAAGTTTTTATTATTTTTCTAGGGATTTTTATGGAACCAATTGCATTTTTTACAATAATCCTAAACCATTGTTTTCTAGTGTAAACTGATACATTTTCTCACTGAGGGGGAAGACACCAAAAAACATGAAGGTATAATCCAAAATTGTAAAACTACTTTAAAAAATTAATTATAATTATTTTGCTTGGAGAGCAAGCTAGAGGAGCTGTTTTCAGAATTTTGTTACTAAATGCCACTGTTGAATGTGCCTTGATTTCATACATGATGAAAGAGCAATTACTGGCCTATGTTTACTAGCAGCTACTTTGCTTTACTGTTGGAAGAAACTGGTGGTGTTGGCGGTGATAGATTTGTAGTTGGCATGTATGAAGGAGAAGAGCTTGATGACCTTTTGTTTGGGTTATTGGTTAGAGAAGAAAATAATTTTTCATTTAGAGTAGAGATCAGCAAACTATGGCCCATGGAGGTTTTTGTATGCCCCATGAGCTAAGAATTATTTTTACATTTTTAATGCTTGAAAAGAAATTCAAAAGAAGTAATATTTTGTGATGTGTGAGAATTATATGAAATTTGGATTTGTGTCTATAAATGAGGTTTTATTGGAACATAGCATGTTTATTTGTTTATATATCTATGGCTTCTTTTATGCTATAACAGTAGAGTTGAGTAGTTCCAACAGATCATCTACAAACTGAAGTATATGTTGTTTTGGCCCTAAGAAAAAAGTTTGCTGATCCTGACTGTGCAGCCAAACTGCTCTCTAATGTCTAGTCTTGTGCCTTAGTTTCCCTATCTTGAAAATGAGAAGAATAATAGAGCCATGAGGTGATTGTGAGGGCTAAATGAGTTAGTATACTTAAAGTGCTTAAAAATATACCTTGCACATCATAATCACTAAGTATTAGAAGTTAGTTGACATTAAGTGTTAGATTTAATTGATAATCACTTTGTAACATAGACTGGAAAAGATGCATTGAAATCCATTCTGTTGGAGAACAGCTACAAGTATATTAAGGAAGCAGGCTTTGGCTACAATGTACTTCCAGATCTTGAGCCAGTGGTGAAGGAGATAGTGAAAGTTATCAATCCAAAACAAAACCTTTACATTGCTGCACAAGGAAAGGAGTATTGTATAAAAGATTGCATTTTTACCTTGCAAAGTGCTAGCCAAATTATTCACTTGAGTTTTTAAATGAAATAATAAGGTTACCTCGTGACTGTAATAATTCTGGTATGACCATTTCTGTGATGCCAAGCGGCGTTTTCAAGAGTCCTATTAGAAATGTATTTGGCATCTTGAATAGCTTGAACCTATTACTCCTGGATGAAATTGCGCAATTTTTAGTGTTAAGGATAAGCTGTCAGAATTTAAGAAGACTAAACTGTGGGGTAAATGGCTCGGTTTCCCAGCTTGTTTCTCAACATTTGGTTTTCTTCCCTTACTGGAGAGAAAACAAAGTGAAATATTTATCCATCTAGCTTAAAAAAAATTGTGGTAAAAACACATAATATAAAATTTATTATCTTAACCATTTAAAAAATTTTTGTTTCAGAGACAGGGTCTCACTATGTTGCCTAGGCTGGACTTGAACTCCTGGGCTCAATTGATCCTCCCCCCTCAGCCTCCTGTGAGTAGCTGGGATTACAGTCATAACCACTGGGTACAGACATTTTAACCATTTTTAAGTATACTCTTCAGTAGTGTCAGTGTTGAAATATTCACATTGAAATTACACAAGTCTCTAGGAAGTTCCAAACTTTCCCAGATCTTCTTGCTCACTTTGGACTTGAAAAAATAAAACATTAAAGTAGTCAGATTTATAGAAACACAAAGTAGGTGGTGGTTGCCAGGGCATAGGGGAAAGGAAGTTGTTGTTTAATAGATAGAGGGTTTCAGTTTTGTAAAACGAAAAAGTTCTGCAGATAAGTTGCATGACAATGTGAATCACAATTACAGGAAGGGTTTATGATCTATTATGATCTGCTGGTAATAATTGTCAGCTGCTCTGGAATCAGCTGAGAGTCCAGTGAAGTAATCCAAGTAGAGTAGAGAATAAGTTTAAACTAAGTCACCAGACAGACCGGTGTGTATGCACTTTTACCCCCTTTGGGAAAAGTTAAACTGTTACAGCACAGCTGTCCTTTGTCACCCAGAAACCTCAAGAGTAATCACTGGCAGGGCTTATGCATTTAGATCAGATAGTGGAAAATAAATGTGTAACTTTTGTAATTTGAATAGAAAATACAAGTATCGTTCATCAGGTACTGGTTTCCAGTATGTAATGGTCACCTAAATTTTTATTTTGTTCAAAGTCTTTTCTCTGTTCAGTGCTCTTAAAAAAGAAATTCTGAGCTGGGCACAGTGTCTCATGCCTGTAATCCGAGCACTTTGCAAGGTTGAGGTGGGAGAATCACTTGAGGCCAAGAGTTTGAGAACAGCCTGGGCAACATAGCGAGACACTGTCCCTACTTTTAAAAGGAAGTTCTACACTTAATATGTACATCTTGCACATTTCAGTGTGTTTTTGGCACCCAGTTGGCCACTGCTCTTAGCAATATAATAGTAGGGGGAGAGAGTTTATTTAGGTGTGTTTTAAGCATTCATGATCTTTGACTCTTTTTGTAGAGGCAGATCCTGTAGACCATTCAGTGTTAAGTACTCTGTTTTATCTTTTCCTATTTGGCAGAGCCATTAATATTTTCGATGAATTTGTCTAACACTGAGTAATAATGTTGGGGTTGTTGCCTTTCTGTCCACTTAATTAATATCAATCGTTTTTATCTTAATGTGGACTACAGTGAATTACAGTGGAACTCTTTATTTTTTGACATTTTACATTTGAAAATGGAATTGGCAGTGTGGTATATAGCAAAATAGGCACTGAAATAGGCATAAGAAACCTCGCTTAATATTGATATTAAGATGGGTGATCATGGCTAAGTCATTAAAATTCCTGTCTGGAAATGAAGGTATTGAACTAAATAATTTCCAGGAATTCTGGTTTTTATGACCAGTATTTCAGATGGAAACCAGTGTCACACAATTTTTTTAAATTCTCTGAGATGTATATGTGTTTATATGTATCAAAGCAGTTTGTGTTGTGTGTTTGAGAGTGGTTATTTTGCTCAGAAAAGGCTATTCAGAGTATTTTGTTTTTCATAATGAATATTAGATTTATTAAAGCTATAAATTAAACAACTAGGAATTTTATTTTTATTTTTTATTTTTTATTATACTTTAAGTTCTAGGGTACATGAGCACAACGTGCAGCTTTGTCACATATGTATACATGTGCCATGTTGGTGTGCTGCACCCATTAACTCGTCATTTACATTAGGTATATCTCCTATTGCTATCGCTCCTCCCTCCCCCCACCCCACGACAGGCCCTGGTGTGTGATGTTCCCCACCCTGTGTCCATGTGCTCCCATTGTTCAGTTCCCACCTATGAGTGAGAACATCTGGTGTTTGGTTTTCTGTCCTTGCGACAGTTTGCTCAGAATGATGGTTTCCAGCTTCATCCATGTCCCTACAAAGGACATGAACTCATCCTTTTTTATGGTTACATAGTATTCCATGGTGTATATGTGCCACATTTTCTTAATCCAGTCTATCATTGATGGACATTTGGGTTGGTTCCAAGTCTTTGCTATTGTGAATAGTACTGCATTAAACATACGTGTTGCATGTGTCTTTATAGCAGCATGATTTATGATCATTTGGCTAAGTACCCAGTAATGGGATGGCTGGGTCAAATGGTATCTCTAGTTCTAGATCCTTGAGGAATTGCCACACTGTCTTCCACAATGGTTGAACTAGTTTACAGTCCCACCAACAGTGTAAAAGTGTTCCTATTTCTCCACATCCTCTCCAGCACCTGTTGTTTCCTGACTTTTTAATGATCACCATTCTAACTGGTGTGAGATGGTATCTCATTGTGGTTTTGATTTCCATTTCTCTGATGGCCAGTGATGAAGAGCATTTTTTTATGTGTCTGTTGGCTGGATAAATGTCTTCTTTTGAGAAGTGTCTGTGTATATCCTTTGCCCACTTTTTGATGGGTTTGTTTGATTGTTTTCTTGTAAATTTGTTTAAGTTCTTTGTAGATTCTGGATATTAGCCCTTTGTCAGATGGATAGATTGTAAAAATTTTCTCCCGTTCTGTAGGTTGCCTGTTCACTCTGATGGTAGTTTCTTTTGCTGTGCAGAAACTCTTTAGTTTAATTAGATCCCATTTGTCAATTTTGGCTTTTGTTGCCATTGCTTTTGGTGTGTTGGTCATGAAGTCCTTACCCATGCCTATGTTCTGAATGGTATTGCCTAGGTTTTCTTCTAGGGTTTTTATGGTTTTAGGTCTAACATTTAAATCTTTAATCCATCTTGAATTAATTTTTGTATAAGGTATAAGAAAGGGATCCAGTTTCAGCTTTCTACCTATGGCTAGCCAGTTTTCCCAGCACCATTTATTAAATAGGGAATCCTTTCCCCATTTCTTGTTTCTGTCAGATTTGTCAAAGATCAGATAGCTGTAGATGTGCGGTATTATTTCTGAGGGCTCTGTTCTGTTCCATCGGTCTATATCTCTGTTTTGGTACCAGGACCATGCTGTTTTGGTTACTGTAGCCTTGTAGTAGAGTTTGAAGTCAGGTAGCATGATGCCTCCAGCTTTGTTCTTTTGGCTTAGGATTGTCTTGGCAGTGCGGGCTCTTTTTTGGTTCCATATGAACTTTAAAGTAGTTTTTTTCCAATCTGTGAAGAAAGTCATTGGTAGCTTGATGGGGATGGCATTGAATCTATAAATTACCTTGGGCAGTATGTCCATTTTCACAATATTGATTCTTCCTATCCATGAGCATGGAATGTTCTTCCATTTGTTTGTGTCCTTTTTTATTTCGTTGAGCAGTGGTTTATAGTTCTCCTTGAAGAGGTCCTTCACATCCCTTGTAAGTTGGATTCCAAGGTATTTTATTCTCTTTGAAGCAATTGTGAATGGGAGTTCATTCATGATTTGGCTCTCTGTCTGTTATTGGTATATAGGAATGCTTGTGATTTTTGCACATTGATTTTGTATCCTGAGACTTTGCTGAAGTTGCTTATCAGCTTAAGGAGATTTTGGGCTCAGACGATAGGGTTTTCTAAATATACAATCATGTCATCTGCAAACAGGGACAATTTGACTTCCTCTTTTCCTAATTGAATACCCTTTATTTCCTTCTCCTGCCTGATTGCCCTGGCCAGAACTTCCAACACTATGTTGAATAGGAGTGGTGAGAGAGGGCATACCTGTCTTGTGCCAGTTTTCAAAGGGAGTGCTTCCAGTTTTTGCCCATTCAGTATGATTATTGGCTGTGGGTTTGTCATAGATAGCTCTTATTATTTTGAGATACGTCCCATCAATACCTAATTTATTGAGAGTTTTTAGCATGAAGTGTTGTTGAATTTTGTCAAAGGCCTTTTCTGCATCTATTGAGATAATCGTGGTTTTTGTCTTTGGTTCTGTTTATATGCTGGATTACATTTGTTGATTTGTGTATATTGAACCAGCCTTGCATCCCAGGGATAAAGCCCACTTGATCATGGTGGATAAGCTTTTTGATGTGCTGCTGGATTCGGTTTGCCAGTATTTTATTGAGGATTTTGCATCAGTGTTCATCAAGGATATTGGTCTAAAATTCTCTTTTTTGGTTGTGTCTCTGTCCGACTTTGGTATCAGGATGATGCTGGCCTCATAAAATGAGTTAGGGAGGATTCTCTCTTTTTCTATTGATTGGAATAGTTTCAGAAGGAATGGTACCAGTTCCTCCTTATACCTCTGGTAGAATTTGGCTGTGAATCCCTTTGGTCCTGGACTTTTTTTGGTTGGTAGGCTATTAATTATTGCCTCAATTTCAAAGCCTGCTATTGGTGTATTCAGGGATTCAACTTCTTCCTGATTTAGTCTTGGGAGGGTGTATGTGTCCAGGAATTTATCCATTTCTTCTAGATTCTCTAGCTTATTTGCGTAGACGTGTTTATGGTATTCTCTGATGGTAGTTTGTATTTCTGTGGGATAGGTGGTGACATCCCCTTTATCATTTTTTATTGCGTCTATTTGATTCTTCTGTCTTTTCTTCTTTATTAGTCTTGCTAGTGGTCTATCAATTTTGTTGATCTTTTCAAAA
The DNA here is from genome assembly GCF_000001405.40 of Homo sapiens. Taxonomy (NCBI): domain Eukaryota; kingdom Metazoa; phylum Chordata; class Mammalia; order Primates; family Hominidae; genus Homo; species Homo sapiens. Next base: position 70,939,075 of record NC_000014.9, read on the forward strand.
ATCCAGCTCCTGGATTCATTGATTTTTTTTGAAGGGTTTTTTGTGTCTCTGTCTCATTCAGTTCTGCTCTGATCTTAGTTATTTCTTGCCTTCTGCTAGCTTTTGAATGTGTTTGCTCTTGCTTCTCTAGTTCTTTTAATTGTGATGTTAGGGTGTCAATTTTAGATCTTTCCTGCTTTCTCTTCTGGACATTTAGTGCTATAAATTTCCCTCTACACACTGCTTTAAATGTGTCCCAGAGATTCTGGTATGTTGTGTCTTTGTTCTCATTGGTTTCAAAGAACATCTTTATTTCTGCTTTCATTTTGTTATGTACCCAGTAGTCATTCAGGAGCAGGTTGTACAGTTTCCATGTAGTTGAGTGGTTTTGAGTGAGTTTCTTAATCCTGAGTTCTAGTTTGATTGCACTGTGGTCTGAGAGACAGTTTGTTATAACTTCTGTTGTTTTACATTTGCTGAGGAGTGCTTTACTTCCAACTGTGTCGTCAGTTTTGGAATAAGTGCAGTGTGTTGCTGAGAAGAATGTATATTCTGTTGATTTGGGGTGGAGAGTTCTGTAGATGTCTATTAGGTCCACTTGGTGCAGAGCTGAGTTCAATTCCTGGATATCCTTGATCACTTTCTGTCTCGTTGATCTGTCTAATGTTGACAGTGGGGTGTTAAAGTCTCCCATTATTGTGTGGGAGTCTAAGTCTCTTTGTAGGTCTCTAAGAGCTTGCTTTATGAATCCGGGTGCTCCTGTATTGGGTGCATATGTATTTAGGATAGTTAGCTCTTCTTGTTGAATTGATACCTTTACCGTTATGCAATGGCCTTCTTTGTCTCTTTTGATCTTTGTTGGTTTAAAGTCTGTCTTATCAGAGACTAGGATTGCAACCTTGTTTTTTTTGTTTTCCATTTGCTTGGTAGATCTTCCTTCATCCCTTTATTTTGAGCCTATGTGTGTCCCTGCACATGAGATGGGTCTCCTGAATGCAGCGCACACTGATGGGTCTTGACTCTTTATCCAATTTGCCAGTCTGTGTCTTTTAATTGGAGCATTTAGCCCAATTACATTTAAGGTTAATATTGTTATGTGTGATTTTGATCCTGTCATTATGATGCTAGCTGGTTATTTTGCCCGTTAGTTGATGCAGTTTCTTCCTAGCATCAATGGTCTTTACAATTTGGCATGTTTTTGCAGTGGTTGCTACTGGTTGTTCCTTTCCATGTTTAGTGCTTCCTTCAGGAGCTCTTGTAAGGCAGGCCTGGTGACAAAATCTCTCAGCATTTGCTTGTCTGTAAAGGATTTTATTTCTCCTTCACATATGAAGCTTAGTTTGGCTGGATATGAAATTCTGGGTTGAAAATTCTTTTCTTTAAGAATGTTGAATATTGGCCCCCACTCTCTTCTTGATTGTAGAGTTTCTGCCAAGAGATCAGCTGTTAGTCTGATGGGCTTCCCTTTGTGGGTAACCTGACCTTTCTCTCTGGCTGCCCTTAATATTTTTTTCTTCATTTCAACTTTGGTGAATCTGACAATTATGTGTCTTGGAGTTGCTCTTCTTGAGGAGTATCTTTGTGGCATTCTCTGTATTTCCTGAATTTGAATGTTGGCCTGCTTTGCTAGGTTGGGGAAGTTCTCCTGGATAATATCCTGAAGAGTGTCTTCCAACTTGGTGCCATTCTCCCTGTCACTTTCAGGTACACCAGTCAGACATAGATTTGGTCTTTTCACATAGTCCCATATTTCTTGGAGGTTTTGTTCTTTTCTTTTTACTCTTTTTTCTCTAAACTTCTCTTCTCACTTCATTTCATTCATTTGATCAATCACTGATACCCTTTCTTCCACTTGATCGAATCGGCTACTGAAGGTTGTGCATGCATCACGTAGTTCTCATGCCATGGTTTTCAGCTCCATCAGGTCATTTAAGGTCTTCTCTACATTGTTTATTCTAGTTAGCCATTTGTCTAATCTTTTTTCAAGGTTTTTAGCTTCTTTGTGATGGGTTCGAACATCCTCCTTTAGCTCGGAGAAGTTTGTTATTACTGATCTTTTGAAGCCTACTTCTGTCAACTCGTCAAACTCATTCTCTGTCCCTTTGTTCCATTGCTGGCGAGGAGCTGCATTCCTTTGGAGGAGAAGAGGCACTCTGATTTTTAGAATTTTCATCTTTTCTGCTCTGGTTTCTCCCCATCTTTGTGGTTTTATCTACCTTTGGTCTTTGATGATGGTGACCTACAGTTGGGGTTTTGGTGTGGATGTCCTTTCTATTTGTTAGTTTTCCTTCTAACAGTCAGGACTCTCAGCTGCAGGTCTATTGGAGTTTGCTGGAGGTCCACTCCAGACCCTGTTTGCCTGGATATCACCAGTGGAGGCTGCAGAACAGCAAATATTGCAGAATGGCAATTGTTGCTGCTTGATCCTTCCTCTGGAAGCTTCGTCTCAGAGGGGCACCCGGCTGTATGAGGTGTCAGTCGACCCGTACTGGGAGGTGTCTCCCAGTTAGGCTACTTGGGGGTCAGGGACCCACTTGAGGAGGCAGTTTGTCCATTCTCAGATCTCAAACTCTGTGCTGGGAGAACCACTACTCTCTTCAAAGTTGTCAGACAGGGACGTTTAAGTCTGCAGAAGTTTCTGCTGCCTTTTGTTCAGCTATGCCCTGCCCCCAGAGGTGGATTCTACAGAGGCAGGCAGGCCTCCTTGAGCTGCGGTGAGCTTCACCCAGTTAGAGCTTCCTGGCAGCTTTGTTTACCTACTCAAACCTCAGCAATGGCGGACGCCCCTCCCCCAGCCTCACTGCTGCCTTGCAGTTTGATCTGAGACTGCTGTGCTAGGAGTGAGCGAGGCTCTGTGGGCGTGGGACCCTCCGAACAAGGCGTGGGATATAATCTCCTGGTGTGTTGTTTGCTAAGACCATTGGAAAAGCACAGTATTAGGGTGGGAGTGTCCCGATTTTCCAGGTGCCATCTGTCACAGCTTCCCTTGGCTAGGAAAGGGAATTCTCCAACCCCTTGCACTTCCCGGGTGAGGTGATGCCCAGTCCTGCTTTGGCTTACACTCTGTGGGCTGTACCCACCGTCCGACAGGCCCCAGTGAGGTGAACCCTGTACCTCATTTGGAAATGCAGAAGTCACCTGTCTTCTGCATCGCTCACGCTGGGAGCTGTAGACTGGAGCTTTTCCTATTCGGCCATCTTACAACTAAGAATTTTAAACTCAACTCTTTACAGGTCTAACATATTTTAACAATAATTAAAAAGGTTTTTTTTAAATAAAGACCTTATCAAATTGCACTTGTAAATTTAGTATTCATTTTTAAGGATTTAAATTATCTGACAAATGTTTGCAAGTTGAGAGGCTATAGAAAAAACAAACTCTTCTCCTACTATGCTATCACAGCACAGAACACTTCTGACAGCAGATGTGTGGGGGTGTCCCCACACACCAAGCAGTCAACCAATTTCTGCAGCAGGTGCTTCAGCAGATACCAGCTGGGTATCCTCCAATTCAATTCAATTCTGACACTGTCTACCTGGAGATACTATTAATACAAAGGATACAAATGAAAAGTTGCATGAGGCAAGGCATGTGGGAAGGGCCCTGGAGCTTCCATGCTGTCTCTGGGCATGCCACCCTCCAGAAACCTCCATGTGTTAGGTATCATGAAGCTCCTGAGTCCAAGCCTTTTGGGTTTTTATAGAAGCTTCATTATGTAGTCATGATTGATTACATCATTTGGTGATTAATATGGTTTGATTTTGTGTCCTCACCCAAATCTCACCTTGAATTGTGATAATCCCCACATATCAACTGCAGGACCACGTGGAGATAACTGAATCATGGGGGTGGTTCCCCCATGCTGTTCTTGAGATAGTGAGTTCTCACCAGATCTGATGGTTTTATAAGGGGCTTCCCCCTTCGCTGGGTACTCACTTCTTTCTCCTGCTGCCCTGTGAAGAGGTGCCTTTTGCCATGATTGTAAGTTTCCTGAGGCCTCCCCAGCCATGCAGAAATGTGAGTCAATTAAACCTCTTTTCCTTATAAATTACCCAGTCTCGGGTATTTCTTCATAGCAGCATGAGAATGGACTAATACAGTAAATTGGTACCAGGTAGTGGGGCACTGCTGAAAAGATACCCAAAAATGTGGAAGTGACTTTGGAACTGGGTAACAGGCAGAGGTTGGAACAGTTTGGAGGGCTCAGAAGAAGACAGGAAGATGTGGGAAAGTTTGGAACTTCCTAGAGACTTGTTGAATGGCTTTGACCAAAATGCTGATAGTGATATGGACAATGAAGTCTAGGCTGAGATGGTCTTAGATGGACATGAGGAACTTATTAGGGACTGGAATAAAGGTGACTCTTGCTATGCTTTATTAGCAAAGAGACTGGCGGCATTTTGCTCCTGCCCTAGAGATCTGTGGAACTTTGAACTTGAGAGAAATGATGTAGGATATCTGGTGGAAGAAATTTCTAAGCAGCAAAGTGTTCAAGAGGTGACAGAGCATAAAAGTTTGGAAAATTTACAGCCTGATGATGCAATAGAAAGCACAACCCCATTTTCTGGGGAGGAATTCAAGAAAGCTGCATAAATTTGCATAAGTAACGAGGAGCCAAATGTTAATCACCAAGACAATGGTGAAAATGTCTCCAGCGCATGTCAGAGGTCTTCACGGCAGCCCCTCCCATCACGAGCCCAGAGGCCTAGAGGAAAAAATGGTTTCTTGGGCGAGGCCAGGGCCTTGCTGCTTTGCACAGTCTCTGGACTTGGTACCCTGCATCCCACCTGTGGTTAAAAGGGGCCAATGTGCAGCTCAGGCTGTTGCTTCAGAGGGTGCAAGCATCAAGCATTGGTGCCTTACATGTGGTGTTGGTCCTGTGGATGCACAGAAGCCAAGAATTGAGGTTTGGGAACCCTTGCCTGGATTTCAGAGGATGTATGGAAGTGCCTGGATGTCTGGGCAGAAGTCTGCTGCAGTGGTGGAGCCCTTATGGAAAACATCTGCTAGGGCACTGTGGAAGGGAAATGTGGGGTTGGACCCATCCCATGCAGAGTCCCCACTGGGCATGGCCTAACAGAGCTGTAAGAAGAGGGCTGCTGTCGTCCAGTCCACAGAATGGTAGATCCAACAGCTTGCACCATGTGCCTAGAAAAGCCACAGACACTCAGTGCAAGCCCATGTGCCAGCCAGGAGGGGAGCTGTACCCTGCAAAGCCACAGGGATGGAGCTGTCCAAGGCCATGGGAGCCCACGTCTTGCATCAGTGACCTGGATGTGAGACATGGAGTCAAAGGAGATCATTTCAGAGCTTTAAAATTTGACTGCCCTGCTGGATTTTGGACTTGCATGGGGCCTGTAGTCCCTTTGTTTTGGCCAATTTCTCCCATTTGGAATGAGTGTATTTACCCATTGCCTGTATCCCCATTGTACCTAGGAAGTAACTAATTTGCTTTTGATTTTACAGGCTTATAGGTGGAAGTGACTTGCCTTGTCTGTGATAAAACTTTGGGCTTGGACTTTTGAGTTAATGCTGGAATGAGTTAAGACTTTGGGGGACAGTTGGCAGCACGTGATTGTGTTTTGAAATGTGAGGATGAGAGATTTGGGAGGGGCCAGGGTGAAATGATGGCTTGGCTCTGTGTCCCTACCCAAATCTCACCTTGAATTGTGATAATCCCCATGTGTCTAGAGTAGGACCAGATGGAGATAATTGAATGATGGGGGCATTTCTGCCCTTCAGTTCTTGTGATAATCAGTGAGTTCTCATGAGAACTGATGGTTTTATAAGGGGCTTCCCCGTTCGCTTGGTATTCATTTCTCTCTCCTGCTGCCCTGTGAAGCGGTGCCTTCTGCCATGATTGTAAGTTTCCTGAGGCCTCCTCAGCCATGTGGAACTGTGAGTCAATTAAACCTCTTTTCTTTATAAATTACCCAGTCTTGGGTATTTCTTCATAGCAGCATGAGAGTGGACTAATACAGTGTTCAGCTCATCCTACAGCCCCTCTTCCCTCCCTGGAGGTTGAGAGTTGGGACTTCAGTCCAACCCTCTAATCAGGAGGTTGGTTCCCCTGGAAACCAGCCCCGGCTCCTGAGGCTATCCAGGAGTCCCCAGGCACCAGTCAAGCTAATAGTGAACAAAAAGACACCAGTTTGGAGATTCCAAGGATTTTAAGAGTTTTTGCCAGAAAATGGGGATGAAGACCAAATACATATTTCACAATATCATACAGGTACTCAACTCTTCCAAATCTGATATTTATGCATTTTGTAAACTTCTAAATATATTTCCCAACTTAAAATTATAAGCCCAAACCAGTTATTCAGTAACATTTTAAGTTGGAATCAGAAGTTTAATTTTTTAGATACATTAATATGCAGGACTTCTTAATCCAAGTATTTAAAAATAACAAATATTTAATATATACCTATTATGCCGACACTCAACACAAAATTATTAATTTGTGGACTTTATGTTTTTCCATCCTAATTTCAACCCACACTCTTTCCCTCTCAAAAACTTTTCTTTTTTTTTTAAAGAAATTTGATCATACCTGTATTCTAAACCTGTCTGGCCCATAAAGACCTTTTTATTTTTGTCTCAAGTGATTTGAGGTTAACTTTTTTTTTTTTGAAATGGAGTATCACTGTGTCACCCAGGCTGGAGTGCGGTGGCATGATCTTGGCTCACTAGAACCTCCACCTCCCAGGTTCAAGTGATTCTCCTGCCTCGGCCTCCCAAGTAGCTGGGATTACAAGTGCCCACCACTACGCCTGGCTAGAGGTTACTCTTTTAAAGCCAATTTGGGGTCATGTTCTCAGATAACTGAGATTGAATCTTGTGAAAACATGTGGGATCTAGAGCTATAGATGTCTGGGTGATTTTTCTCATGAAATTGGGATAAGTTGAGCCTAGTTGTATTACCTCTGCCAGTAGTGACTCTAGGCCTTGCCTTCCCAGTGAGCTGTTCTCCAAGCCTGCCACCTGTGGACTCAAGTTCCCCATCACTGAATCCTCCTGTGTGATGGGCCTTCAGCCCCACACCCAGGATGTTTGGCTGACTTATTTTATTTAATCTGTTACTTGATTCTGTCCTGTGTTCTTTTATTCTTTTTGTTTGGCAGGCCACAATTTTTAAGTATTTTAAATGTTTAACTATTTTAAAATAAAACCCACCTGGATTTTGCATGTCTTCCATATCTTACCTGGTTTTACAGTCACAGTTCTAAGGTCATTCTCATGACAGTTTTAACTTCCAATTTTCTGGAATACGAAGAATGTATCCTAAAAAACGGTTGCACAGAGCCCATAAAGAGGCATTATATTTGGATCACAACCTTGATTTCTTCACATATACTGTAATGTGATACCTTTGTTCTCCAATTGTATGATAAGGCTTTTGGCATGGACTGTATACCTGTGCTGTCCAGTGGGAATGTAATGCAGGCAAGCCATATATGTAATTTAACATTTTCTAGTAGCCACATTAAATAAAAAGAAACACATGAAATTAATTTTAATAATGTTTTATTTGACCAGTATAATCTAAGTATTATTTCAACATGTAATCAACATTAAAATTGAGATATTTTACATTTTTTATATTGAATCTTTGAAATGCAGTGTTTATTCTCACTTTACATCTCAGTTCAAACTAGCCATATTTCAGTTACTCAGTAGCCACATGTAGCTAGTGTCTTTTGCATTGGGCATTGAAGCTGCTAAGTTTTGCAGCTTAGCGCTAGTAACATAGTTGTTGCTTTGTGTGTAAATGTGTTTATTATTTTAGATACAGATTTATCTAATTGAATACGATATAAAATATTTTAAAATGTATTTCCTTATTTTCTTTCTCTTAAAGGCCCTTCCTTCTACCATGATTATAGTAGCAGTTTATTGTCCTGTGATAGCTGCTGTTTTCATTGTTCTGAAGATGGTCAACTATCGACTACACAGAGCACTTGATGCTGGAGAAGTTGTAGATAGGACTGCAAATGAGTTCACGGATCAGCGAACCAAAGCTGAACAAGGCAACTGTTCAACCAGGAGAAAAGACAGCAATGGACCGAGGTAAGGAAACCTATGTCATTGATTGATCGTAATGATTTAGATTGTGTTATCTGTATAATGATGTGATTATTATATTGTACTTGTTTTCTTTATATGGTTTTAAGGCAGTGTTAGATCTTACCACTGTAGATACAATGATGGGTACATATTTTAATATTAGAACAGAGCTAAGCTAACTGGTGTGTTTGGGGGATTAAATCAATATTCTTGGCCTCATTACTAGACAGGTTAGAACAGTACTGTTGCGGGAAGACAGGGACCCCGAACAGAGGGACCAGCTGAAGCCATGGCAGAAGAACATAAACTGTGAGGATTTCATGGACATTTGTTAGTTCCCCAAATTAATACTTTTATAATTTCTTACGCCTGTCTTTACTGCAGTCTCTGAACATAAATTGTGAAGATTTCATGGACATTTATCACTTCCTCAATCAGTACTCTTATAGTTTCCTATGCCTGTCCTTTAATCTCTTAATCCCGTCTTCTTCTTAAGCTGAGGATGTATCTCGTCTCAGGATCCTGTGATGATTGCGTTGTCTGTATAAATTGTTTGTAGAGCATGTGTGTTTGAGCAATATGAAATCTGGGCACCTAGAAAAGGAAGAGGATAACAGCGATTTTCAGGGAACAAGGAGATAACCATAAAGTCTGACTGCCTGCGGGCTGGGCGGAACAGAGTCATATTTCTCTTCTTGCAAAAGCAAATAAAAGAAATATCGCTGAATTCTTTTTCTTAGCAAGGAGCAGCCCTGGGAAAAGAATGCATTCCCAGGGGGAGGCCTCTAAAATGGCCACTCTGGGAGTGTCTGTCTTACGCAGTTGTGGATAGGGGATGAAATATGCCCTGGTCTCCAGCAGCGCCCCCAGGCTTGTTAGGATTGGGAAATTCCAGCCTGGCGAAATTGTAGGCAGACTGGTTCTCTGCTCTTGAACCCTGTTTCCTGTTAAGATGTTTATCAATGACAATCTGTGCATAGCGGGACAGTGAACCTCATCAGTAATTCTAATTTCGCCCTGGCATTGTGACCTTGCCCTGCCCATTTGCCTTGTGATATTTTATTGCCCTTGAAGCATGTGATCTCTGTGACCCATACCCTATTCATACACCCCTCCCCTTTTGAAATCCATAATAAAAACTTGCTGGTTTTGTGGCTCAGGGGGCATCACGGAACCTGCCGACATGTGATGTCTCCCCTGGACAGCCAGTTTTAAATTTCTCTCTTTTGTACTCTTTCCCTTTATTTCTCAGACCGGCCAACACTTAGGGAAAATAGAAAAGAACCTACGTTGAAATATTGGGGGCTGGTTCCCCTGATAAATACACTACTGTATGATAGTTACTTACACTAGAGACCAAAACCAGCAGCCTAAAGAAATTATTCAGCATGGCTTATAAATCTCAGCATTTATTTTTATTTACTCATATAAATAAAATGTATGTGTGTGTATATATACACATATGCATATATAGATATGTGTATATATAGATGTGTATATATACACATATATAGTTGTGTATATATAGATGTGTATATATACACGTGTCTATATAGATGTGTATATATACACGTGTATATATACACACATACACATAAGTGTATATACATATATATGTGTATATGTACATATATGTACATATACACATATATGTATAGTGTATATATACTTATAAATGCTTATAAATCAGCATTTATTTTTATTTACTCGTATAAATAAAATGTATGTGTGTATATATACACATATGTATATATAGATATGTGTATATATACACACATACGTGTATATACGTATATATGTGTATATATGTACATATATGTACATATACACATACGTATATGTGTATATACACTTATAAATGCTTATAAATCTCAGCATTTTTATTTACTCGTATAAATAAAATGTGTGTGTATATATACACATGTATATATAGATATATGTATGTATAGACGTGTATATATACATGTGTATATATACATACATGTATATACGTATATGTGTATATATGTACATATACACATATGTATATGTGTATATATACTTATAAATGCTTATACATCTCAGCATTTACTCATAGTGTGTATATACACATGTATATATAGATATATGTATGTGTATATACACACGTGTATACACACACACGTGTATGCACACACGTGTATACACACACGTGTGTACACACATATGTGTGTAGATACACACGTGTATACACGCACGTGCATACACGCACGTGCATATATACATATATAGACACATACGTGTATATACATATGTGTGTGTGTGTACATATATATGTACATATATACACGTATATATGTGTATATATGTATAATATACACATACGCATGTGTATATATATACACACACACCTTAAGCAAATTGTGATATTTTACTTGACATTTATAAGTAGTATACTTTACTTAACCTATTGTAAATTTGTTTGAATTGTATATTCTTACCTTAGAAACTTAGCTGTTTCTTTCCTAGATCTTTGCAAGACTGACTTCTTAGGATTCAACTGTGATTCGATGTCAACTCCTCCTGGAGGCTTTCCTTTCCCATCCCAGCTGAAGTGATCCCCCTGTTGCTCAGTCACATTCTGTAGCATGACCTTGGCCTTGCCCACTTTCCACTTTACCTATTTGACAGAAGTGTCTACTTTATTCATAGTCAAAAGTTTGTGACCTTACAGAAATTAATAGGTACCCCTAATATAACTCTTGGAAAATTTGTGAACACTTGACATACCTCAAAACAATTCTAGCAGGTAGATGCTGTTATTATCCCTGATTTACAGATGTGGAAACCAAGTTGAGAAAGATCAAATAATCTAAGCAGTTGTTTCCACTGAGCATAATATGAAATATTTCAGACATCAAGACATAAATAATGTAAGAAAAAGTGGGCACTCCTCTCTTAAGACAGGTGATATTTCTGTATATTTTCCAGGGCATTGAAAGCCTTTGTTTATTCCTTTTCAATTACATTTTTTTCCTTATTCTTAACATGAGTACCCTGTTTGTTAATTAAACACGTATTTTAGCCTCATAATTTTTGTTTATTGCCTTAATCACTATCTGAAATTATCTTAACATTTATTTGCATTGATGAACTTCTTGAAGGTAATGACCTTATTGTTCTTATAAACTATTATATTCCCAGTTCCAAAATCAGTGTCTGGCAATGATAGGTACTCAGCAAATATTTGAAGTAGTGAAAACGATTATTCTGTGATATTATGTTTAATGATGCACAGTATCTCATTATGCCAATGTATTTTATCCTATTTTAAATTATATCAATCATTTTGAAATTTAAATATTAGATAACTGTGATGTTTAAATTTTCAATGATTAAATGTTCTATCATAGTTTTTCAGAGGTGGAATTACTAGAAATGCTATGCACATTTATAAGTTTTCCAATATGTATTGCCAAATTCCCAAGATTTTACCATTTAATGACTATGACCAGAAATTCAGCTGCCTCTTTTTTTTGCACTTTTGACAACTCTTGAGTATTTAGTATTTTGAAAAACTGTGATATCTCATTGTTTAATATTGTTTAATATGTAAATAAATTATTGTTTAATATTCCCGTTTTTGAATTACTAGTGAAATGGAGGTATTTTTCTTATTGCCATTTATATTTGTTATTCTGTGAATTGTATATTTTTCTATTGGTGGATTTTTTTTTGCTATTGATTTTGGAACTTTTTTTAAATAAAATATATTAGCTCTTCTGTGTCAAATACTCTTCCTCAGTTTATAGCATTTTATTTGTCAGTGTCTTTATATCCTGTAATTTATTTTTCTGTGGTCCAATTTTGTGTGTTTGTTATTTCTGCTTTTGATAACGTTTTCTAAGATTTTCCTTCCCTCAAATTATATAAATATACAATAAATTAAGATCTTTGTATCTACTTTCAGTATTTTTATCATTTTACTTTTTACTCTTAAATTGTTGTCAGTTTGAAAACATTTTAACTTAATTTGTTTAGGTTTGTTTATCACAACACCATTCATTAAGTAACAAATTTTTTCCCTGTAAATTTAGATGCTTTCTTTTTCATGTAGTATACTGTATATACTTATGCTAGTTTCTGAACTTAGTTTTCTGCTTCATCTTTCTGCCTTTTTTCATTTATACCATACTGTTTTTATCATAGTGGCTTTATAATATGTTTAATACTTAGCATTGTGAGTGACTCCAGTATTTTACTTTTTTGATATTATTATTTTTTTGGGGGGCGGGGGTTGGTTGGTTGTTTGTTTTGAGATGGAGTCTTGCTCTGTTGCCCAGACGAGTGCAGTGGTGCGATCTCGGCTCACTGCAACCTCCACCTCCCAGGTTCAAACGGTTCTCCTGCCTCAGCCTCCCAAGTAGCTGGGATTACAGGCATGCACCACCACGCCCAGCTAATTTTTGTATTTTTAGTAGAGACGGGGTTTCATCATGTTGGCCAGGCTGGTGCTGGACTCCCGACCTCAGGTAATCTGCCTGCCTCGGTCTCCTGAAGTGCTAGGATTACAGGTATGAGCCACCACACCTGACCTTTTTTGATATTATTTTGATTATTCTCATGCATATACTTACTTTTGTGAGATATCTTCATGTGTGCTTATCCTCCAGAAAATTTCGTTAGAATTTTGATGACAATTCTATTAAATTGTAGAAACTCAACTTTTAAAATAGGGATATAGATGAGAGATTTCCATTTATTTTCTTATGTTTTTATTTATCATCTCTTTATTCACTTATCTTTTATGTCTTATAACCTTTCACATTTTTTAAATGGTTTCTGTACATTTCCTACGCCTATTCTATTTCTGTTAAGAAATGCATATTCGTACATTGTGGATAAGTGGACAGAATGTAGACTTCACACTCAGTCAGTCAAGGCTTCTTAATTGTAAGACATTGGAGAAGCTACTTAAGCTTTTGAGTTGGCTTTCTTGTCAGAATGATGAGGAAAATAATGGAACTCTCTCATAGGATTATTACAATGAATAAATGAAATAATATATAGAGAGTTCTTAGAATAATTCCTGACACATGGTAACACTTGATAATTGTTCTAATTATTTCTGGATATTATATATATTTGTCATTGCTTCTGAATTGTTTTTTCCATTTTCTTTTACTTTAAAAATTTTTTATTGTGAAATATGTATTCCAAACACTAAGTTAGCAATAATCAAGTGACTACTTCATTACCTACCACACAGCTTAAGAAATAAAACATTATAAAAATACCATATAAGCTTCATGACATTCCTCTCCCATTTCATTCCACTTTTCCCTTCAGGAGTAACCATAATCTTGAATTTTTTGTGAATAACTCCCTTGCTTTTCTTTATTGTTACACACTCTTCGTAGATATTCCTGAATATATTTATTTATTTTTGTCTGCTTTAGGACATCCTAAGAGAATCATACAGTATGCATTTCTCTATGAGAGATTTTTTTTTTGCACAGTATATTATACTTTATTGACTCACGCATGGTGATGTTTGTAGCTAGAGTTTATTCATATTGACCTACATGTAGTCTGCCACTGTAAGAATAGACCATAGTCTATTTATTCATTCTTCTATTTATAGCCATTCAGATTATTTCTAGTGTTTTTTGTCTTGTGGTACATGTGTATATCTAGTTTATGTAAGCTGGTTTATAGGGCATTTTCATGTTCAATTTTATCAGGCAATTCCAAGCTGTGTGCCAAAATGATTTTACCAGTTTATACTCTCACCGGTAGTGTATGAAAGTCCTTATTGTTCACATCTTCATCAACATTTGATATTGGTAAACCTTAAAAATTTTCCATTCACTTAGCTATTGATTTGGGATTTAAAAGAAGAAAATTGGCTGGGCAAGGTGGCTCCTGCCTGTAATCCCAGCACTTTGGGAGGGAGAGATGGGAGGACAGCTTGAAGCCAGGAGTTCCAGATCAGTTTGGGCAACATAGTGAGACCTTGTCTTTACAAAAAATAAAAAATAAAAAAAAATTTTAGCTAGGTATGGTGGTGTGCACCTGTAGTGCCAGATACTTGGGAGGCTGAGGCAGGAGGATCACTTGAGACCAGGAGTTCAAGAGTTCAGTGGGCTTTGATCACACCACTGCACTCCAGCCTGGGTGGCAGAGCAAGACCCTGTCTTGAAAAAATTTGCCATTCATGAAATGTAAAAGGTGTCTCATTGTGACTTTCAGTTAAGCTTTCTGATTACTACTGAGGTTAAACATTTTATTTTTTTATATATGGTCCATTTAGGTTTTTTCTTTTTTCCAATGCTCATTTATGTTTTGTTTCATTTTTCTTTGGAGCTGTCTTTTTCTTAATGATTAATAGGAATTTTTTATTTTTTTATATATTCATGCTATTCCTTTATTAGTTATGTATATATTACAGTCATCTCCCACTTGTGGCTTGTCATTTTGCTTTCCTTAAAGTTTCTTATGATTATCATATACTCTTAAATTTAGAACAATGAAATTTACCACTTTTTAGTAATCAGGTTTTTTGTTTTTTGTGTTTTTTTCTTTCTTTTTTTTTTTTTTTTTTTAATGAATTGGAGTTTCACTTTTGTCGCCCAAGCTGGAGTGCAGTGGCACAGTCTCAGCTCACTGCAACCTCTGCCTCCTGGATTCAAGCTAGTCTTTTGCCTTCCCTCCTCAGTAGCTGGGATTACAGGCATGTGCCACCACACCTGGCTAATTTTGTATTTTTAGTAGAGTTGGGGTCTCACCATGTTGGCCAGGCTGGTCTCAAACTCCTGACCTCAGGTGATCCACCCGCCTCAGCCTCCCAAAGTGCTGGGATTACAGGCGTGATCCACGCGCCTGGCTAGCATTTTTGTGTCTGAATTATTTTCTACACGGAGATCAGAAAGGTATTCTGTATTGTCTTTTTGAAGTTTCATGTTTCTTTTGTTTTCACATTTCAATTCTACCCAAAGCTATTTAAGTCTGTAGTATCAGGTAGGTTCTTAAGGCTTATTTTTTTCTTTATGAATCTCTGATTTACCCAGTATTTGTTAAGTGGACTATCTTTTCCTTAGTAATTTGCAGCAGTCTCTATGGCATAAGCTAAATTTTCATTTCTGGTGGCTTGTTTCTGGGCTCTCTGTTCTGTTCTGTTCTGTTCTGTTGATCTGCTTGCCTGTGCCATTACCATACCATCCTTATCAGCTTTAAAACATGACTCTTGATAGCCAGTGGGTTAAACCTCCTACCATATTCTTTTTTAGGAGAGACTTCGCTATTCTTGGCTCTTTGATTTTTGATGTAAACTTCAGAGTCTGCTAGAGAAAGTCTATAGGAACTTGGTATTTTTATTGGAGCTACACTAAATTTGTAGGTCCCTCTGCTGAGAATTTGCATCTTTACAATATTGAATCTCTCCATTTATTTAGTCTTTTTAAATACCTTTCAGTAATAGTTTTTCATTTTCTCCATTAAAAGGAAATTTATGATTTTATAGTATTTATGCTAGTATAATTTTGTTTTTCCCCCTAAAATGTCGCAGTTTATTTTGTGTCTAGCAATCTTATTAAACCCCCTTATTAATGATGTTCCCTTGTCTATATGATCACAATTATTTCTTACTTTCTAGTCCTTATACTTCTTGTTTAATTTTTTTCACTGGCTATGATATGTAGCACATGGTTAAATTGAAGTATTATTGGTGTACATCCTTGTCTTTTTTCTAATCTTTAATATTTTTAAGTTTCACTAGTAAGTAAGATCTTTGTTGTAGGTTTTTGTTTTTGACATCTCCTTTCCTCACCCTCACACTTGTGAATCTCATGTTCTGTTCTGAGGAAAAGAAATGAATAGGAAAATAAATACTTGTGTATCTAGATCCTATCACTGTGCGTGGTACATTGTGGCTCTCAGTTTGTTGTGTGAATGAATAAATATAGCAGAACTACTTGAGCTTTATGGTTTTCATTGGTCTCTCTTTTATGTGGTACAGCAGGTAAAAAATGGTTCAATCTTTTAGAGAAAGAATCAGTCACTAATTTTTTTTATATTTCTAATGCTTCAGGAAGTAACATTGAATTTTAGGATTTGAATACAAACATTTGAAGAAAGATCATGGTTTCTGTATGTTTCTCATGGCAGTAATGCTTATGATATTGTAAACTACGGATCAATTTAAACTGTATGAAGCTGGATTTTAGGCTGTTTTCTGAGAGAGATTATTTTGTTTAGGAACTTTGTTCCTGTGAATATAGGAACTTCGTTTTTATCCTTATTCTTATGAGCATCATTTTACTCCAGATTTACAAACTTGGTATTGTAATGGTGTTGCAAAGTTTCTGATCAAAGCCTGAGAGCATGAGCAATAAATATGATACTAATAATCAACAAATTAGTTTGTGAAGACTTCTCTGTAATTCAGATTAGATCCCTTCTGCTTTTCTGCCTTTCCCTGTACCTGGTTTGTTTTTTTTCTTAACAGATGGGGAAGTTAAGGCATAAAGGTAGATATTACCTGAATTTGTTGTATTGCTTACTGCAGTAGACCACTTTGCTACTGTGAGAATTATAAACTACTATGCTTTCCAGGTATGTGCTGAAATCTCCATTGCTGCAAACCTGCAAGTCTTGCCAATAAAGAAAACTCTTACTCAGCTATTTTATATGTTTAGCTATATTTAGAACATCTACAGCTTGGCTAAGAGTTTTACTTCTGAATTTATAGAGAAGAAAGAAGTGCAGAAATTTTACTAGAGGGTTTTTTTTTTTAAATGAAAACCCCTGTTCATTTTTTCTCTTCATCATTTTTATTCCTTTGATATCTCCTTTCTTCCCACACATTGTTGTTTGTTGACCATTAGTTCTAAATCATTATTTCTCAACTGGGGGTAATTTTGTCCCCCAGGGCACATGTAGCAATGTCTGGAGCTTTTTTTGGTTGTCACACTGAGGGGCTGCTGCTGACATCTAGTGGGTAAAGGCCAGAGATGCTGCTAGCCATCCTACAATGCAGTCAAAAATTATTTGCCCCCAAAATGTCAATAGTACTGAGTTTTAAAATCCCTGCTCTAAATAATGGTGTTTACTTTCGGTTTTGACCTGGAAAGAGACTAGTGCCTATTTGGTGTAAGGCAGTATGTTTTCTTAGAAAGAATAAGGGCCAAGCGCAGTGGCTCACGCTTGTATTCCCAGCACTTTGGGAGGCCAAGGTGGGAGGATCCCTTGAGGCCAGGGTTTTGAGACCAGCCTGGATAATACAGTGAGACTCTGTCTCTACCAAAAAAATAAATAAATAAATAAAAAATTAGCCGGGTGTGGTGGCATGGGCATGTAGCAGCCCCAGCTACTCAGGAGGCGGAGGTGGGAGGATCACTTGAGCCCAGGAGTTTGAGGCTGCAGTGAGCTATGATTGCACCACTGCACCCCAGCCTGGCTGACAGGGCAAGACCCTGTCTCTTAAAAAAACAAAACAAAACAAAAACACAAAAAAAGCAAGAATGTGGGCTTTAGGGTTTCACAGACCTGGTTTTTGAGCCTTATCTTAGGCCATGCTGGTTATGAGTACGTGTGTTCAAGTGTGTGGGAAATAAAGAAAGAACAGATATGATAACTTATTTGCAGAATGCTGAGGAGGTATTATTTCTGTCCTCCCCTCCCACGTGAACTCCAGGTACCAGTGACTCAGTTTATGTTTCATTCCTCCTCTGAGACGTTAGGCAAGTTTTTTTGCCTTTTGGTTTTCAGTTTTTTCAACAGTAAGAGGAGAATAATAACTGTAAGAGGAGAATCATATCATAAATATTAGGGAAGGTTTCATCAGAAAATGCAAATAAAGCACGTACTGCTATGACTGGATATAATAAGTACTGAGTAAATATTTGTTTTTATTATATTATTATTATTATTATTTTGAGACAGGGTCTTGCTCTGTTGCCCAGGCTGGAGTGCAGTGGTGCAATCATAGCTCACTGCAGCCTTTACCTCCCGGGCTAAATCTGTCTACTAACCTCAGCCTCTTGAGTTGCTGGGAGTACAGGCACATGCCACCACACTTGGGTAATGTTTTTGTAGAGATGGGGTTTTGTCATGTTGCCCAGTCTGGTCTCGAACTCCTGGGCTCAAGTGATCTGCCCATCTTGGCCTCCCGCGTGCTAGGATTACAGGCATGAACCACACACCCAGCCTGTTTTTATGTATTATTAATAATAACTGTATGTTCAGATTGTAATAATTTGGACTTGCTATCAAAAGTGATGTATAAAACTAGGCAAGATTATCCATCAGTTGATGACTGGATAAACAAATGTGGTTTATCCATAGAGTGGAATATTACTTGGCTATAAAAAGGAATGAAATACTGATGCATGCTACGACGTGGATGAACCTTGAAAACATTATGCTAAGTGAAAGAAGCCAGACACAAAACATCACATATGATTCCATTTATATAGAATGTCCAGGACAGGGAAATCTGTAAAGACAGAATGTAAATTAATGGTTGTCTAGGGCTAAGGAGGATGGAAAGGGACGGGTAGTAATGGTTAAAGGGGTTTGTTTTTGAGGTGATAAAAGTGGTCTAAAATTGGCTTTGGTGGTGGTTTCATAATTTAATGAATACGTTAAAAACCATTGAATTATACAGCTTAAAAGGGTGAACTGTACGATATGTGAATCATATTTCAATAAAGTTGACATATGTGTATGTATATGTGTGTGTGTATGTATGTGTGTGTATATATATAGAGAGAGAGAGAGAGACTAGGCAAGATGAGGGCTGTCTCTCCTTTCTGTGTTGTTATTTCTTAATCTGTACTTTGCTCTCCATCTTCTGTTTTCTTTGGATCTCACTTAGAGGATGCATTCTAGTGGAGAAACCATAATATTGCTGAATATTTGAATATTCATTACTAATTTAATGTGGTGATAGTGCCTCTATATACATACTTAAAGTTTTTCCAATTTAGAAAAATTTCTCCTCTGTCCTACATAGCTTATATGAGTTAACACCAGACAGCTTATAAACATGAACATGTTCTACATTTCTCACACATGAGTATTTGTATACTGAATTGGCCATATGTTTACCTGAGTTCCAATATATTTTATTTTTATAAATGGATAGTAAGTTAGAAAGCTAGTTTTCTTTGTTGAACCTTAGTTAGCTACTGTAGTCAATGGCTTAGAGTTAGGAACCTGTTACGCAAACAGGGACATTATAATTATGAGATAATTGATAATAAAAACACACTAGAGTTCAAACTGCTATAATGTTAAATACTTAAATGGAAAATTATATATTGCCTATATCTTTTGATTGCAGCTGTCAGAATACCCAAAAAAGTTTAAGGGAATTTACTACTCACATTACTGAAAAGTCTGCACATGAGGGATGTCTTCAGATGTGTCAGGATGCAACGTTTCAAACTGTCACTTCATGTCCCTGCTTCTCTTCTTCTCGCCAGTCTCTGTTCTTTTCTATTATTTTGGCTTCTTAGAACAGGCTGCCCCTTAATGGTTATAAGATGGCTGCAGCACCTCCAGGCCTTAAGTCTCAACATTAAGAGTAGCAGATATAGAGAAATTTCCTCCCACCAATAAGACACTCCTGGCCTGATTCAAACTAGCCTGGGTTGGGTCCTGTGCTTATTCTAGAGCTAATCTCAATGACCAGAACAATGGGATATGCTGATGACTGGACAGTAGAGCCCACCCCTAAACCTGAGGGTGGGGTCAACATTACCCAAAAACCTATGAGAGTTTGAGATGAGGTGGTTCACCTGAAGAATTTGGGGTTGCTTTTTTTTTTTTTTTTTTTTTTTTTTACATAATCAGGAGGTTGAATTGGATGCCAGATAGCAAGATATATCCTCTGTAATGTCCAACACATATATTGTAACTTTTATCCAGATAATAGCAAAAAAAAAAAAAAAAGATTATATATAGACTATTGACTACTTACTCTGTTTATACCAGGTAGAATTAGTAAAAAACTCTGGGCAAAAAGTAGGATTATGACTTATTCTAAGAGTTGTCTTCCTGAGGAACCTTATGTAGCATTTTCTAAGTTTTGTGAAATTTGGTGTGTGGTTTTTTCCCCGTAAATCTGGGTTCCTGTTATCTTTTTTTTTTTTTAATTATTATTATACTTTAAGTTTTAGGGTACATGTGCACAATGTGCAGTTTAGTTACATATGTATACACATGCCATGCTGGTGAGCTGCACCCATTAACTCGTCATTTAGCATTAGGTATATCTTCTAATGCTATCCCTCCCCCCTCCCCCCACCCCACAACAGTCCCCAGAGTGTGATGTTCTCTTTCCTGTGTCCATGTGTTCTCATTGTTCAGTTCCCACCTATGAGTGAGAATATGCGGTGTTTGGTTTTTTGTTCTTGCGATAGTTTACTGAGAATGATGATTTCCAATTTCATTCGTGTCCCTACAAAGGACAGGAACTCATCATTTTTTATGGCTGCATAGTATTCCATGGTGTATATGTGCCACATTTTCTTAATCCAGTCTATCATTGTTGGACATTTGGGTTGGTTCCAAGTCTTTGCTATTGTGAATAGTGCCGCAGTAAACATACGTGTGCATGTGTCTTTATAGCAGCATGATTTATAGTCCTTTGGGTATATACCCAGTAATGGAATGGCTGGGTCAAATGGTATTTCTAGTTCTAGATCCCTGAGGAATCGCCACACTGACTTCCACAATGGTTGAACTAGTTTACAGTCCCACCAACAGTGTAAAAGTGTTCCTATTTCTCCACATCCTCTCCAGCACCTGTTGTTTCCTGACTTTTTAATGATCACCATTCTAACTGGTGTGAGATGGTATCTCATTGTGGTTTTGATTTGCATTTCTCTGATGGCCAGTGATGGTGAGCATTTTTTCATGTGTTTTTTGGCTGCATAAATGTCTTCTTTTGAGAAGTGTCTGTTTATGTCCTTCGCCCACTTTTTGATGGGGTTGTTTGTTTTTTTCTTGTAAATTTGTTTGAGTTCATTGTAGATTCTGGATATTAGCCCTTTGTCAGATGAGTAGGTTGCGAAAATTTTCTCCCATTTTGTAGGTTGCCTGTTCACTCTGATGGTAGTTTCTTTTGCCGTGCAGAAGCTCTTTAGTTTAATTAGATCCCATTTGTCAATTTTGGCTTTTGTTGCCATTGCTTTTGGTGTTTTAGACATGAAGTCCTTGCCCATGCCTATGTCCTGAATGGTAAAGCCTAGGTTTTCTTCTAGGGTTTTTATGGTTTTAGGTCTAACGTTTAAGTCTTTAATCCATCTTCACGTGATTATCTCAAGATGCAGAAAAGGCCTTTATCTCAAGATGCAGAAAAGGCCTTTGACAAAATTCAACAACACTTCATGCTAAAAACTCTCAATAAATTAGGTATCGATGGGACGTATCTCAAAATAATAAGAGCTATCTATGACAAACCCACAGCCAATATCATACTGAATGGGCAAAAACTGGAAGCATTCCCTTTGAAAACTGGCACAAGACAGGGATGCCCTCTCACCACTCCTATTCAACATAGTGTTGGAAGTTTTGGCCAGGGCAATTAGGCAGGAGAAGGAAATAAAGGGTATTCAATTAGGAAAAGAGGAAGTCAAATTGTCCCTGTTTGCAGGTGATATGATTGTATATCTAGAAAACCCCATTGTCTCAGCCCAAAATCTCCTTAAGCTGATAAGCAACTTCAGCAAAGTCTCAGGATACAAAATCAATGTACAAAAATCACAAGCATTCTTATACACCAATAACAGACAAACAGAGAGCCAAATCATGAATGAACTCCCATTCACAATTGCTTCAAAGAGAATAAAATACCTAGGAATCCAACTTACAAGGGATGTGAAGGACCTCTTAATGGAGAACTACAAACCACTGCTCAATGAAATAAAAGAGGATACAAACAAATGGAAGAACATTCCATGCTCATAGGTAGGAAGAATCAATATCGTGAAAATGGCCATACTGCCCAAGGTAATTTATAGATTCAATGCCATCCCCATCAACCTACCAATGACTTTCTTCACAGAATTGGAAAAAACTACTTTGAAGTTCATATGGAACCAAAAAAGAGCCCACATCGCCAAGTCAATCCTAAGCCAAAAGAACAAAGCTGGAGGCGTCACGCTACCTGACTTCAAACTCTACTACAAGGCTACAGTAACCAAAACAGCATGGTACTGGTACCAAAACAGAGATATAGATCAATGGAACAGAACAGAGCCCTCAGAAATAACGCCGCATATCTATAACTCTCTGATCTTTGACAAACCTGAGAAAAACAAGCAATGGGGAAAGGATTCCCTATTTAATAAATGGTGCTGGGAAAACTGGCTAGCCATATGTAGAAAGCTGAAACTGGATCACTTCCTTACACCTTATACAAAAATTAATCCTGTTATCTTTAAGTACTGTGTTTGGGCTTCTCCAGTGCTTTGAACCTAGTACTTTTCTCTTTTTTGTCTTTCTGTATCGTTACTACATAGCATCACTTTCTTTTTTTAACCTTGGCCTTCTAAACATGTACAGATCTAAAATCTTAGGTTTCCAGTTCTGTAAAACAAGTTAGTATTCTAGTTAAATTCTGGTTACTTAAAGAATACAGATACAAATAGCTTGACCAGGGCGACTGTTCTCTTGTGTGTTCATCACTGTATCATGCGGCTCATTGAGACTGATCTCGAGGGGATTCGTTAATGTAATATCTGATTACATTCTGTGTTTACAATTGAACAATTTCTCTTTGCTCTAGGGAAGCAAAAGGCAATCATTTCTTTGTGAGAGTGGTTTGATGGCACGTATCGTAACATATTTAGTATGCTATAATTGTAATTAATGCCAGTTTCTAATGTTGGATTTGATGTAGACAGTTTGGAATAAGAGAGTTATACATATTTTCAAGTAGTGATGTGGTTATAAAATAGTTCCAAGTATCAGACTTGTAAATGAAGAATGATCGTTGTTTACCTTTTTTGCTATTTGCTGGATTAAAAATCAGAACCTCTTAGTTTTGTGGAAAAAAGTATAACTTAAAAAATTAACAAAGGAAAAGCATTGGAGTCAGAATAATGACAGTTACTCTTTTTCTCATTTTTTTCTCCACAGTGATCCTGGTGGAGGGATTGAAATGTCTGAGTTCATCCGAGAGGCCACACCCCCAGTTGGTTGCAGTTCCAGAAATTCTTATGCCGGTCTAGATCCAAGCAACCAGGTAGGAACCTGCGCTGTTTTATTTTGCCTTTTTCCCTCCTCCTGATGGTGGTCTCCGTTATTCTCGTGTCTTTAAGTCGGCTGATGTTTTGTCATATCTTTCTGATTATTATTTTTAATTGCTTATTAATAACATCTTTTATTAATATTCTTTTTAAGTTACTTTTCACATTGATTAATTACAGATTTGTTGAGCATTACCACAGACTCATCTTTGGGTGTATAGTTTTGATTATGACAGTTGTGAATAGCCTTAGGAAATTTAGCTTCTAGCTTGCGCTATCTTCACATCATGTGTATTAGAGAGGTGTAGATGTCTGTGGTTACCCCCAGTTTAAACGTGGCCAAAAAATAAAAATAAATGCTGAAAATCTCTCAGTGTTCAAGATGTTTAATGGTAAGGCTAAAAGTAAAATACAAATTTGCTTTTATCAATTTTAATGTCTTTCTACTATGTAACTTTTAAAATGGTAACTCTTGAAGTTTTATTTCAAAACTTGGCTGGACCTTTGCTGCTCTAGTCCTCTTATTCATCCTAAATACCCGTACACTAATCAAAGCCCCAGTTACTCCTGCTGTCCTTCTCAGCAGATGATTTCATTGGGTAGAGTAAAATTCTATGAACTTTGTTGGAAACGTTCATGGTCTTCTCTTAGCAGACCTTTACATAACTATAGGTTTTAGTAGTTGCTATGTCAGTCTTTTCATTATATAGAAGAAGAAATAGCTGATTTATATCAGGGTCTGGACTAGACCGCACTTCTCACTCCAGTCTTCTTGTTATCATATGACACAGATTGTGGATTGAAACCATTCTTCTCTTTTCTGCCTGCTTTCTGTTCTAGAGACAGACTTAGTCATCTTTATTTTCTGGTCTAACTCTTCTTGTAACTATCCTACATTTCTCAAGATTTTCAAACACCTTATGGTGTTGACCCTTTCTTTTGCAGATGAGTACTTATTTATATGGCACTTTACAAGGCTCTACAGAGTAGATTTTCCTCTTTTTTTCTTCTGTCTTATATACTGCCTTGTGTACAGTTGACTTTAAATTAATGATTGCTAATTATCCTTATGTGACTAGGTAATAAAACATTAGAGGTAGATCAGACCTAGCTTCTCATTTAACAAATGAGTAAATAGCAGATATAATTCTGCCAACTCTGTCCTGTAGTATTCTACTCTTCTGCATTGGTAGCCTTAAGAACAATGTTATGAAAAACACTATATGAATCAAAATCTTGAACAGGGTCTTGTTTTCTAATATATTTTGATAGAAGATTTGACTCTGATTAGCATGTTCATGATTTAAAGTTAAAGTGAATGACTAAACTATTAAAGGTAACAGTTTTGAACCTAGTACCTTTCTCTCTTTTGTCTTTCTGTATCGTTACTACATAGCATCACTTTCTTTTTTTAACCTTGGCCTTCTAAACATGTACAGATCTAAAATCTTAGGTTTCCAGTTCTGTAAAACAAGTTAGTATTCTAGTTAAATTCTGTTTACTTAAAGAATACAGATACAAATAACTTGACCAGGGCGACTGTTCTCTTGTGTGTTCATCACTGTATCATGCGGCTCATTCGGACTGATCTAGTGAGTACAGAACATGTAGGTTGTTAAATTTATCTTCCTTCCATAACAAGCTTATGGAATGGGAGATGTCAAGAGTTTTTTTGTTGTTGTTGTTTGTTTGTTTAAAGAATGTGAAAAGAGCTATGACATATTAATTAGATTGATACTTTTTTTTTCTGAGATAGAATCTTGCTCTGTCATCCAGGCTGGAGTGCAATGGCACAATCTTGGCTCACTGCAACCTCCATCTCACAGGTTCAAGCTGTTCTCGTGCCTCAGCCTCCTAAGTAGCTGGGATTACAGGTGTCTGCCACCACACCTGGCTAATTTTTTTGCATTTTTAGTAGAGATGGGGTTCACCATGTTGTCCAGACTACCTCGAACTCCTGACCTCAGGTGGTCTGCCCACCTCAGCCTCCCAAAGTGCTGGGATTACAGATGTGAGTCACCATGCCCAGCCTTAGATTGATACTTTTTGTTTCAAATTTTACAATGCCTGTTTGAAGACAAGGGTTACTATCCTTGATCCTGTTTTTTTGTTGGCCTTGTGTTTCTCTGTCTCTTTTTATAGAATGAAATAACTCAATTCTTGAATATGGCTGCATGTCTTGTATTCTTAATTAACCCTGGGCTTTCTTCTTATTGACAGACGTAGGTAGTATCAGACCCCCAGAGAGTAAGCCTACATTTCTCCAATCATCTTTTGGAGACCTTTTTTCCTTTTTACAAAAAGGAAAGATGAAAGGGCCAGCAGTGGCCAGGCACTTTTGGATCCTGTGACCTTGGCATCGTGTCTGTTGGAACTTGCCTGTTTGTTTTAGGGAGGGAGTCCCTTTTTGACTGTGATTAAAGCATGTGTGCATGTTGTTAAACACACAGCATACCTTTTACTTAATAACTTTTTAATAAAAATGGGCAAATATTGGAGGTTATTGTGCTACTTGGATTTTAGTGTTTTCGTTTTATACTGTTTATGACAAAATAAATGGTTGACATAATTATTCTTACACTTTAGAGAAGCTGAAGTGAGGAGGAAGAGTCTGGCTTTTTGCATATTGCTGGAGATATTACCATTATAGACATACTGTTGTTTCTTGTATGTATTTTATTATATAATGTGTAAGATACTGCTACACATTATCATATTTTATATAAATTTGTTGGGTACTAAACAGTGAACCCACTGACCATAGTAGCTACATCGTGGTCATTGTTACTATTCTTTCCTTCACCTCTGCCTTTCTCCCTTTCATCTTCTACCCATCATTTCCATTCTTTCTTTTCATTCCTCTCCTTACCTCCTTCTCTTTCCTTTTGTCACTTTTCTACCTTCAAATATTTTAGCGCCCAATAGTATTCAAGGCATTCTACTTAGTGTGGGTTGGGGAGTGGGTCTTATACTGAAAGAGATTGTGATCTCATAGTAGGTGTGATATAAGTAACCAAAGATAAAGATGTGATATATGTTACCAAGGGGCCAGGCACGGTGGCTCACGCCTGTAATTCCAGCACTTTGGGAGGCCGAGGTAGGTGGATCACGAGGTTGGGCGATTGAGACCAGCCTGGCTAGTATGGTGAAACTCCGTCTCTACTAAAAATACAAAAAATTAGCTGGGTGTGGTGGCATGCACCTGTATTCCCAGCTACCCAGGAGGCTGAGGCAGGAGAATTGCTTGAACCCGGGAGGTGGAGGTTGCAGTGAGCTGAGATGGCACCACTGCACTCCAGCCTGGGCAACAGAGTGAGACTCCGTCTCAAAAAAAAAAAAAAAAAAAAGATAACGAAGTAAAAATTGCCATAGGAATGGTAGAGAAGAAGAGCTAATGATTTCATAGGATAAAATAATTGTTTCCAGCTGGAGAGACAGGCATGGCTTCTTGGGGCAGGTGGCCTTGCCTGATATGCTCTCTAGTTAGAAGTAACCTTTCTTCCCTGGTATCCATAATCCTTCCTATGGCACTTGTCATAGAGAAGAAACAGTGGAATATTTTAGTTTATGCAAAGCACTTAAATAAAAAACTTCACCCTCAAGTGTAAAAAGATACTGTTTTTTCTTAATCTTTACATTTTCATTTTTAGGAAATTTAATGAGTGAGGGCAAACAGGAAAATTAAAATAATCTATGTCATAATTGATTGTATCATGAGCATTAATATCATTAAGTGTTTTTCTACAGTGACACTTTGGGGAATGCATTGCATTTGGATATACTATAGTTTATATTCTGGAGCCCTGTTGTTTCACTTGTAAATAGTCATGATTCTTTTTGAGGGGAAGCATAATGCAGAAAAGTATGAAGAATAAAATATAACCACTCTATTATACCTGTTAAGAATGTTTTTGTCAACAAGTAATAGAATACTCAACTAATAGTGACTTAAAGAAATAGTTGTTTTTCACCTAAATCTGGAGGTGATTGTGTGGCATTTGTGTTCAGCAGCCTAACGTTAGGCCTCTGGATTGGCATCTCTGCAGTTCTCTAGGCTTTTTTCTCAGGGTTGCAGGATGAGCACAGCAGCTTCAATCAAGACCCTGTTTGAAAAGTTAGGAAGCAAGCAGTAGTGTGGGACAGAGATTTTCCTTGATCACTTTCTTCTCAGACACACAAAGACGTTTTCCTGAAGCCCTCCAGCAGATTCTCCCACACGTTCATTCACCAGAACTAGTTCATACACCTACCTCTAGACCAGGGACTGGGTGTACTTCTCATATATCAGAAGGTGTATGACCAATTTTGGAACAAAATAGGGAGATTGTTAAAGAAGGAGAAAGGGAATACTTTGAGCTTCTGAGCAAATGACTACCATATCCGTGTTTAAAAATTTTTTTTTTAAGTTTAAATTCCTAGATGGGTATGCATAAAATGGTGTTTTTGTTTTCTTGTTTGTTTTTAAATTTCTGTCTAGGAAGTTATATTTAATTCTAGCAGAAAAATAGCAAATGTTAATTCTATAACTTATGTAGCAGGTGTTGTAAGAATGAAACTTTTGCGATAAAATGCTTTTTGGTTTTTTTCTTGCTGGCAAATTGCAATGTCTTTTATGGCTAATTGAAAGCAGAAATTAGGAAAAACTAGAAGAACCAAGCTTAATAAAATAGTTCAAAATTATTACAAAGCTTTTTTTTATTGGCTACCTCAAGAGTTTATTTGTAGTTTCAACAGATATATGTATGCATATTTTTATTTACTTTTTCACTGGCATGTAACTTACACAGCGTAGTGCACACCTTCAGTGTACAGCTAAGTGAATTTTTACATCTGTGTGCACCCATTCAGTTGCCATCCAAATCAAGAAAGGCCTTCATGTCCCTTCAAAGTCAACATTAACTTATATTTTGAGTGATTTCTTGTGATATACACCTACTAAATCAAACCAATGAAGAGGAAGATGTGGTAAAGTATAAAGTAGTATATGAATGTTCTTAATTTTATTTTACAGTGCTAACTTTGCTTGACTGTTTTCTTCTTTGAATCCATGAAAACGAGTTACAGGAAGAGTTGCTAAGACTTGTTGATTTAGTAACTGTTATGTTATCTTTGGTTTCCTTAATGTGTTTGTGGAATTTGTGGTATTTATTTATATGATTTTCATGGTAGTATAATAAATAATGGCTGTGAAATTTTAGGGAAGTGTTAAACTATCTTGAATATAAGCACTAAAAGCTCAACAATCAGGTTTTAATTTTCTCCTTATAGTTTGTGCTAAAAATTCATTTTTCATGGATGCCTTAGACTTTTATTGATTTATTTTTTAATGTTCTGTCTATAAAGAAGTACTTACTTTTGTCTCCAACTAAAGAAGGTACATAATGATACACTTACAATTCGATGGTTAGACTTATGCTGCACTTTGTAGTGTATGTTAATGTTTGTCTGCCAAACCTTCCTTTTATACCCTAAGAAGTCTAAATTTATTTCAGGTAGACATAAAGCCTGGTTTTGCTTTTGTTTATAACATGAACGTGTCATGATGTAGTATAAAAATGATAATTGTATGACATGAGTTGCTTGAGATTGGAGGATCTGGCTCTGGGGGGGCTCCGTCAGTCCTGAGCATGCAGAGGGATTGGGTAGCTCCACATATCAGTAAGACACACGCAGCCTGTGCCGCAGCCAACAGGTTGCGTGGCTCCAATAGAGCTTGTCCAACAAGTATCTTCTAATATTGATAAAAATGATCGATAACATGTTTTGATCATATAATTTTGTTTGATAATCTTGCTAGTGTGTATTGATAATGACATAGCTAGCATTTTAATTAGTTTTATTTACTTCATGTCACGTTTTCAGATTGGATCTGGTTCCTCGCGTCTTGGAACAGCAGCAACTATTAAAGGTAGGTGTGATCTAACTTAAAAGTTGCACCTGCCTTTCCCTTTCATTTTGGTTGTAATGAAGATAACAGTACTGTACATTCAAATGTAATGAAAAAAATCATTCTTGAAATTCTTTTATAGATAAAATTATTTATCTTATTAAAGGTTGGTTGACTTAAATTGTGTTCTCTTTCATCATCCAAATTTCACAAAAGTGTCTGACCACTTACATTACATTGCGTGAATTACATAAGTTTTGATCTATAAGAAACTTCCTTGCCCTTGAGGGAAAACAGTTTTGTGGGTTTTAGTGGGGTTCATGGAAAACTAAGTAATTTGATGTGAAACCTTCTAATGTGACCACAAATGAAAGAACAAAAAAGAGCAAGTTATTTTCTGCTATTTGATCTATTCAGATAAATTCGTATTGTTTTCACCCTATAGTTTTTTAGGTTAATAATTTTCCCTGGGAAGGAAATTCATGTTGGGTCAAGTTATGTAATTTGCATTCCTTTTTAAATTCCACTTGTTTTTAAAGAAATAGTTTTATTAGTTTACATTTTGAAGCTTTCCACATTGTTTGGTTTGTAGTTCTGTGAGAATAATTAAGTGCTCTGATAGTCCATGATACTTCCTGCTAGTTCAGTGCATCTTCCATTATTGTAACCTTTGATACACAAAAACTACTTTAGTTGATAGACATTAGTACTCCTTGATGTATTAATACTCCTTGGTTATGCCACCCTACAGCCTTACTGTTAATATAAGGTCCTCACATGTTTCTCTTAACTTTGTAGGAGATACAGACACTGCTAAGACTTCTGATGATATCAGTTTAAGTCTGGGCCAAAGTTCTAGTCTTTGTAAGGAAGGAAGTGAAGAACAAGGTAAGAACGTTATACTTTACCATGATGTCATATACTGTGGTGACCAGAGTTAATTTGTAGAATATGCTGCATACAATTTGGCAGAAGTTTATAACAATTTAATATGATATTTAAGGAAACATTAACATAAAATGTTATGGTGATAGTAGTAATACAGAGTTACACATGCTTTTAGCTTACTTGAACTCAGTTATACATGTTCTGCCAGATAAACATGGAGAGAGAAATTCTATGAGCATATGCCCCAGAGTGAATATGAGATGGGAGATAAGAATCTGCTATTCTTTTAGTTGGTCAGACCAACTAGCCCAGCTTAGGGATAACCTAGTATGTAAAACTGTTACTTTCCATTCAGTACGATCTCTAAATGCCAGCTGCTTCATCTCTTGCCAACTGCAAAAACAGCAATAAGTTTTGACATAGTGTCTTAGTCCATGTGCATTGCTATAAAGAAATACCTGAGATTGGGTGCCTTGTACTTGGGTGCTTTTTTGGAATTACAGTACCCTATCATTGTTTCTTTGCTTCTGTGGACTGCCCTATCTAACCCTATATCCCATTCCTAAAACTGAAAAGACCTTTACATGTACTGTGTGGGCCGGGCGCAGTGGCTCATGCCTGTAATCCCAGCACTTTGGGAGGCTGAGGTGGGTGGAGTTCGAGACCAGCCTGGGCAACATGGCGAAACCCTGTCTCTACTAAAAATATAAAAATTATCCAGGGTAATGGTACACGCCTGTAATCCTAGCTACTCAGGAGGTTGAGGCACGAGAATCGCTTGAACCTGGGAGGCGGAGGTTGTAGTGAGCCGAGATCGTGTGACTGCACTCCAGCCTGGGTGAAAGAGCGAGACTCTGTCACAAATAGAGAAACACACGCACACATACAGGTACATATGTATGTATGTATGTATGTATGTATGTACTATGTGGTATGGAAACTTTTTTAAAACAATTAAAGGTGAATCAACTGGCTGTGGTGGCTGATGCCTGTAACCCCAGCATTTTGGGAGGCCAAGGCAGGAGGATCGCTTGAGTCCAGGAGTTTGAATCCAGCCTGGGTAACATAGTGAGATGCCTGTCTCTACAAAAAGTAATAAAAAAAATTTACCCGGGCATGATGGTGTGTGCCTATAGTCTCAGCTACTTGGGAGGCTGAGGTGGGAGGATCGCTTGATCCCAGGAGGTTGAGGCAGCAATAAGTTGTGGTAGTGCCACCGCACTCCAGCCTGGGCAACAGAGGGAGACCCTTTCTCTCTCTCTCAGTCAATCAACCAATCAATCAGTCAATATCAATTTCTTTGAGAATTATAATATCCTTTTCTGTAATATGAGACCATTACAGTGTCTCAACAACTAGATAATAATCTCAGAGGGGTTGGTGCCCTTGTGTTTAGGGATTATATATCTTATTTTATATCTGGAAAGTACCATATGCAAACAAGATTTTTATAGTCTGGTAGGTTGGGAATTATATACACACGAATCTACCCTTGCAACTATACATTAACATAGACAGTGATGTCTAACATGCACTGGGTGCATACTATTGGCCAAGTTTGGGGTCAACATACTTTTCTCTAAAGGACCAGATAGCTTTGTAGGCCATGTGGTCTCTCTTGCTACTCAGCTACTCAACTCTGCCATTGTAGAGTGAAAGGAGTCATAA
This sequence comes from Homo sapiens, assembly GCF_000001405.40. Classification (NCBI taxonomy): domain Eukaryota; kingdom Metazoa; phylum Chordata; class Mammalia; order Primates; family Hominidae; genus Homo; species Homo sapiens. Next base: position 70,970,779 of record NC_000014.9, read on the forward strand.
ACGATACATAAATAGTGGGCATGGCTGTGCCATCCTAAAATTTGGTTTATAAAAACAAGTTTGAGGGCTGGATTTGGCTTCATGGGACTTAGTTTGTCAACCCCTGGTTTAAGTCCTCTTCTAAGCATTTTATATGCATTTACCCAGTTAATCTTCACTATAAACGTTTGAAGTTGGCACTGTTATTATTCTCACTTTACAGATAAGCATGTTATTGCTTAGAGAGAAATTATAAGAAACTTGCTCAAAGTCCCACAGCTACAAAGTGACAGTCCTATAATTCAAATCTAGTTTTGAATTATGCTTTTTAAAATCTATGCTATACTACTTTATATAGTTTTTTTTTTTTTTTTTTTTTTTTTTTTTTTTTTTTTTTTGAGACGGAGTCTCGCTCTGTCGCCCAGGCCGGACTGCGGACTGCAGTGGCGCAATCTCGACTCACTGCAAGCTCCGCTTCCCGGGTTCACGCCATTCTCCTGCCTCAGCCTCCCGAGTAGCTGGGACTACAGGCGCCCGCCACCGCGCCCGGCTAATTTTTTGTATTTTTAGTAGAGACGGGGTTTCACCTTGTTAGCCAGGATGGTCTCGATCTCCTGACCTCATGATCCACCCGCCTCGGCCTCCCAAAGTGCTGGGATTACAGGCGTGAGCCACCGCGCCCGGCCTATAGTTTTAAAACTTGCTTTTATCATGCAACATTTTTCCATATGTTTAACATTTAACAAATATTGTCGAGTACTCTTGGCACTGTTTTAAGTACTGGAAATAAATCAGTGAACAAAAAGACAAAAAGTTCCACCCTCATGTGGCTTCTCTACTATTAATATGGAATCATACTGGTAGCAATCAACATATACTGTAGTAAGTAGAGACAGAAGATAGGGATTGGTGGGGACTAGGGAAATTTTAATTTTAAATAGAGTAGTTGAGGGCGGGCTTCTCTGAGAGCAAAGACCTGAAGAAGGAGGAGTGAGCTCTCAGGATATCTGAGGGGAGGGGCCCCCTCCACGCAGAGGGAACAGCAAGGGCAAAGCCCTAAAGCAAGAGCATGCCTGTCAGGTTTGAGAAATATTGTGGCTGGCTCAGAGTAAGTGAAGGGCCAAACAGTATGGAGTTTTGCAAGCCATTTTAAAGGTGCTAATTTTAATTCTGAGTGAGATAAGGAACTGCTAAAGGGTTGTATTTCATTTCAGTGGAATCACTCCGGCTCCTATTTTGAGGAATATATTAAAAGGGGCAAAAGTTGAAGCAGGGACCTCACTCAGCAGATTATTGCAGCAATCCAGAACACAGATCAGAGTAGTGAGAAGTAGTCTGACTGTGTGTGTAGAAGATACTAAGAAGATAGGTTATGGATTTGGATATACTATGTGAGAGAAGTAGTGGTCATAGATGAAGGCTTTTGAGTTACGCATCAGGGAGGATGGGGGCCCGCCAACTGAAAGGGGAAAGACTGAGGAGGAGCAGATTCAGGGTGGGGAGAGCAAGGGGGGTAAGTTAGGGGGTTCAGTTCAGGGCCTATCAGGTGCTGTTAGACCTGTAAGCAGCAATGAGTAGATAAGAGAGGTCCAGATTTCAGGTAAGAGGTCTAGGTTGGGGGTTTTAGATTCAGGAGTTGTCAGTGGATAAATAAAAACAACAACAAAAATCAGTCATGTCAGTTAAGGGGTTGGGTATTATTAAGTTGATGAAGTATCAGGGCAAGCATACTTGTTAGCTGCTTGGGGTTTATGTGGCCTTTACTTCTTGATCCAAATCCCTTTTCTTGGCTATGGTTTGGCGCCACCTAGTGGCAAATGTTCATGCTGGCTTAAATATCGTTTGGTACTCTTACTCCTCTGGTTTGGATTTACAGGATCCAAACCAAGGATCCAAGCCTTTAGTTGGTTAACAGTTAGTTGATTAGTTGGCACTCATTTTGTCACATGATTCAGGATGACTGGGGGAAAACAGGATATTGGGGTATATCTTTAACTTTTTCACTTCTAAGATAATCTACAGTTTCCCTACCTCTCGCTCATACCTTCCCTATCCAAGATCAGAACTTCAGACCGTCCCCATGGGAATATGAGGGCTGGGTAGAAGGTAGAGGAACTAGTTACAGGTATTTCTGAATTTCAGTTTGTCATGGGGATAGAAAACTGGATAAGATTTACAAAGAGGGAGTATAGGTAGAAAAGTGAAAAGTTCTAGCTGGGTGCGGTGACTTACCCCTATAATCCCAGCACTTCGAGAGGCCAAGGTGGGAGTATGGCTGGAGGCCAGGAGTTCAATACCAGCCTGGGCAACATGGTGAAGCCCTGCCTTTAAGAAAAAATACAAAAAATTACCTGGGTGTGGTGCAGTGTACCTGTAGCTCAGCTACCCAAGAGGCTGAGGCAGGAGGATTGCTTGAGCCTAGGAGATCAAGACTGCAGTGAGCCATGATTGCAGCACTACACTCCAGCCTGAGTGACAGAGCAACACTCTGTCTCAAAAAAAAAAAAAAAAAGAAAAAGTGAAAAGTTTTAAGATGTGAACCCTGAGCCTCTTTAGTTTAAGAAGTCCAGGAGACTGAGTAGGAACAACTAGTGAGATCAAAGGAAAACCAAGACTGTTATCCACCTGTGTTCAAGGAGAATGGATTGACCAGCTTTGTCAAGTGCTGCCGATAGGTCAGGTGACATGCAGACTGAGACTTGACCATTGGATTGAACAATTTAGGGGGTGTTGGTGACCTTGATAAGCACGGTCTTAGGGGAGTTGAATTGGAATACAAAGAGAATTGGAGGAGAAGAATCAGACAGTGAATACAGACAACTCTTTCAGTGAATTTTTGTAAAGGTGATAGCAAGCAGGAGAAGTAAAGATGAGGGATTTCGATTTTGTAAGATGTTGTAAGAGATATAACAACATGTTTGTATAATTGATTATTATCCATAATCAATTGATAGGGATGATCAGAGAGAGAAAGAAGGTATGATTTTTGTTTATAAAAGTAACATATATGTTAACTTTAGAAAATATAGTTAAGTATGAAGAAAAAATTTAGACCTCTGCCACTGATAAACTTTTTTTTGCATATCATTTTTTCATATTTTTTTGCTTTGATATAATTCAGTGGTTTTTAGAATATTATGCATCCATCACCACTATCTAAATCCAGAACATTTTCATTACTCCAGTAAGAAACCTGCACCCATTACACTCCCCATTTCCCCTTCAAGCAGCCCCTGACAACCTCTAGTTTACTGTTTCTTTGAATTTGCCTATTCTGGACATTTCATATAAACACAATTATATGTGGTTTTTTTTTTTTTAATGTGTCTGGCTTCTTTCATTTACCTTATTCTGGCATGTATCAGGATGTTATTTCTTTTTATGGCTAACTGTGGTATATCACTTTTCGCATTTATAAAAATATACGCCCATATACCATTAGCATTCATTTAAACTTACAGAACTGGAATTGTGGTTTTTTTTGTTGTTTTTTTTTTTTTTTTTGAGAGGGAGTCTCGCTCTGTTGCCCAGGATGGAGTGTGCAGTGGTGTATTTTTAGTAGAGATGGGGTTTCACCATGTTGGCCAGGCTGATCTCGAACTCCTGACCTCGTGATCCACCTGCCTCGGCCTCCCAAAGTGCTGGGATTACAGGCGTGAGCCACTGCACCCAGCCAGTGCCACCTTTTTCACTTAATTATTTTCTCATGTTATTACATAATCTTTGAAAATGTTTTTAGTGCCTGTATGAAATTATTAGTGGACCACATATTCAATCGTTATTTATAGGACATTGTTATACTTTTTGTGCTTTAAGAACTTTTATAATAAGGTGACATGAACAACTTTGTGCTAAAAACCTTGTACGCATATTTGACTCTATCCTTTAGCAACAATTTCTTACCTTCAAGATAAGAATACCTTTTCAAGTTTCTTGGCCATATTGCCAGATTGCTTTAAGAAGGTTACACCAGTTGGTACCACCATGAGCAGTATGTCTTTCTTATTCTAAACGCCACTAATAACAATTATTTTAAAAAAAGTTTGATTCGATGAAAAATGTATCTTTTTGTGTTGATTTGAGCCTCTTAACTTTGATATAATCTTTTTCATATGGGTAACAGTAAGAAAAAATATATTTACCTGAAAATTTCCTGAAACCACCGAAATTCTTTCTGACAAAATTAAACCTTTTGTGGTATATTTGTTTAGCAGTATCGAAAAAAGTGCATGTATTAAAGTAAGTTTGGCTGTGTCTTTTAAAATGAAATACTTACATTTCTGTTTTATTAATTTATCAGAAGGAAGTTGGTTTTGATCATTAGCATTAAAAAAACCTTTTGTTATCTTAGATTTAGTGATTTTCAACTACTTGCTCAGAGTCGATAAGTTTTCTGTAAAATTCATATCCTTGAAATGTGAATATCACACCAACCGATAATTGCTTATTAGAGATAAAGAGTTTTTAGAAATAACATTATAATTTAATATTACAAAACGTACAATGCTAGCTTTTAAATTTTGATATTTAGAAGATATAAGAACGCAACTACAGTAGCAGCTGTGTTGGGAAAATAATAAAGAACGGGTTTT